>NC_000003.12:124917695-125069210 GCF_000001405.40 Homo sapiens
TTGTAATTTAATATTTTCTACCATAATTCATTTATGATGGGATTTGGTGGGGCGGGGGCGGGGGCGGGGGAGGCGGCAGGGAGTGGCAGTGGAATGTAATAGGGCAGTGAGAAAGGTGTACTTGATAAAAATTATTCTATATTGGTTGAAATATATGGCATAGCTTTGCACTGGGACTAGGAAAGCAAATGCCATCCATAATTTATTCATTAAAAGAATCTACCAGTTTATACACTAATTCAGGAGAGGCAAGACGTTACACCTGTGAAACGGTTAAAGGGAACATTGGAGCCACTGCACACTTGAGTATAAATGACGAGGGCACTAGGCTTGGAGTTAAGACAGGAGGTCCGGACCCTTGTGGCCCGAGACCAGTCAGCTTCTCCAGGCCCGAGTTTCTTCCTCTGTCCAAAGAGAGGTTTTAAAGAGAGAAATTCTGAGGATCCTTCCAATTCCAACATTGCTATAGTAGGAAAGAGCTTGGGGAGTCAGAGGGGAGAGACAATTTGGGGCTGAAAGAGCTTGGGGAGTCAGAGTGGAGAGATAATTTTGGGCTGGAGCCTAAGAAATGCCTTTCTAGGTGAGCCCCAGGTGCATTTGCCCTGCACTGGCCCCTGAGGTGGGGGAAGTAGTTCCCTCCATGCCTCTGAGCTCACAGGTGAAGGTTTGCCTCCAAACACCCTTGGCTCCCTTTTAGTAACTCCTTAAGAATCAAAGGAGTGCCACAGTTTTGGGGATCCCCCAAATGACCTTGTGGGACCAGCTGTCCATCACACTGCAGGGTCCCATATTCTAGAAAGGAAACAGATGATGTTGAAATCAACTATGTGCCAGGCACTGCATACAGGGAATCTTCCAAATTTTATCTCAGTTACTCCTCACAAGGCTCCAGGGAAGTTGATCAGATTATCCCAATTATACAGAGGCAGTGACAAAGGTTCCGAGAGGTTAGAACACCTGCCTGGTCACTCAGGGACAAAGTGCCAAGGCCAGGATTCAAGTACAGGCTTAGCTAACTCCATTCCAATTTCACCATTCCTGTTTGTATCCAGTCATCCCCTACACATGAACTGGCTATTGTCCACTAAACCAAACCTAATTCCCAGAAACAATTCACAGCCCTCCAGCAGCTGTCCGCTGTACACCTCCAGCTTCAGAGCCACTGTGTTTGGGCCCAGCCTGTCTGTTTGCTGCCAGCCTCCCACCATGAAAACTGTGCCTCTTCACTGCCAACCAGACTTGCCCTTCATTCAAGACCAAGCTAGAAATCCATCACTTTTAAAATACCTCTCTGAAATTTTATACACATACTCTCTCTCTCTCTCTTATTCCACCAAAGATTTTTAAAAGTTTTTATTTAGGCTGGGAGTGGTGGCTCACACCTGTAATCCCAGCACTTTGGGAGGCCGAGGCGGGTGGATCACGAGGTCAGGAGTTCGAGACCAGCCTGGCCAACATGGTGAAACCCCGTCTCTACTAAAAATACAAAAATTAGGCTGGGCGTGGTGGTGCACACCCATAATCCCAGCTACTTGGGAGGCTGAGGAAGGAGAATCGCTTGAACCTGGGAGGTGGAGGTTGCAGTGAGCTGATATCACACCAATGCACTCCAGCCTGCATGACAGGAGTGAGATTCCATCTCAAAAAAAAAAAAAAAATGGTTTTTTTTTTTTTTGTAGAGATGTAATGTCACTATGTTGCTCAGGCTGGTCTTGAACTCCTGGCCTCAAGTGATCCTCCCATTTCAGTCTCCCAAAGTGCTAGGATTACAGATGTGAGCCACCATGTCTGGCCTTCACAAAGGATTTGATATGGCTTATAAGGATAAATACAATAGTAAGACTTAAGATGTAAATGGTGCATTGCTACACGAGGGCTGCTTTTCCTACCTAACTTCATCTGTCTTAGAGCATTCTTTCCTCAGCCTAAGTACGTGTGTATTAATGTGCTCCAGAGGAGGCTGAGATGCAATTGCTAATTTCTTGAGAATCTTCTGCCTCTTTGTTTCCCTAAATAGCACCCAGCACTTGCCATTACATATTGAAGTGCTCAATAAGTGCTTGTTCTCACTGCAGAAAGCTCACCACTGACCCTTCTCTAGCCAGGAGTGTGATTTGGGTGTTCTTGTCCCCCTCACACTTGCCATATGAGGGAAGAGATGATCACGGGCCATTCAGTCTCCCCCCGGCCCACTGGAATGCACATTCCAGAGATTGACTAGATATGGTTTGCAGCCATGGGATCAAGACAAACAAAGAGATCCAGATGATGTCCTGGACCATGTGCACAAGTTGTTGCATAGCCAATCACAGACAGAATTTTGCCTTCCCCAGGCCATGCCCTGCCCAGAGTTGGGGTGACATCAGAGGCAGGGCCAAGGCACACAGTCCCCTTTGCAGTGCTCAGACTGAGACTGACCCTCTCCTCTTAACTTGTGACTTGCCACAGAGGGCCTTAATGTTACATGCAGACCTCAAGAGAAGCTCGGAAGTTAGACAGACACACATCTGCCTCCAAAATTGTCCATAACAAACTTACCTTACAGTAAGAATTACAGTCTGTCCATAAACAGATGTGCCAAATACATCTTTAAACTGTGGAGGAAAACAGATTTAATAACAAGTAAAAAAAATTTTTTTTTCACATTTTCTACAAATCAAATGAGGCAGAAAAAAATAATGCTCTATCTAGCTTTTAACAGGATCCAACTGGGTAGAAAATGGACCCTGGGAGACTTCTTAGGGTCTGAGCTGGGACTGCCCCCACAAAGGCTGCTAAGAGGACCTTGAAGAAAGTAAGTTGTCTCTATTTTCCTAACTCTACTCTAATGGTTGCAAGGGAGTTCTGGTGCATCCCTTCTGGATTACAAATCTCCCAGAAACTATAAGAATGCTTCATCCCCTCACTGGTTCCCCCAGGAACATCAAACCCTGACTGAGATCAAGTATCTAATCTGATCTCTGAAGACCGGGGCATAAGGCCTGTAACTGGAGGGGGCTTTTGTGACACTCACACTCAAAGTCAAGTTTGGGGAAAGTAGTGCTAAGTGACCATTGCTCAGTAAAGCCACATGAAGTTCTTCAGGGGTTCCCTGGAAGTAGGACCACATTGATGTTGCTGTCTTCAATGTACTGAAAACATCCGTGCTGGCACATTTGAAAGCAGATCCAAGATGAGAGGGCAAGTCACTGCCAGCTGGCCCACAGGGCAGAGGTGACATGGCAAAGGGACAGAGCAAACTCTGTGAGACAGCAGCCACAGATCCTATCCTAGCGTTGTCACGTACTGGCTGGCTGTGCAGTCGGAAGCACTAGCTCTCTTTGCACCATCTGTAAAATCATTTCCACGATACATTTTTTACATGTTACCAGTTCTAATAGTGATATAATTTCAAATTGAGAGACATTGTCATGGAATAAGACTTCAGCTTTAAAAAAATGTCTCTCCATCTCTACTTCCTTTTTTTTTTCTCCAGGCAGAGTCTCACTCTGTTGCCCAGGCTGGAGTGCAGTGGCATGATCTTGGGTCACTGCAACCTCCACCTCCTGGGTTCAAGAGATTCTCCTGCCTCAGCCTCCTGAGTAGCTGGGATTACAGGCGCCTGCCACCACGCCTGGCTAAATTTTTGTATTTTTAGTAGAGATGGGGTGTCACCATGTTGGCTAGGCTGGTTTCAAACTCCTGACCTCAAGTAATCTGCCCGCCTCATCCTCCCAAAGTGCTAGGATTACGGACATGAGCCACCATGCCCAGCCTCCACCTCAACTTCTAAGACATATTTAAGGCTAATATTTTTTCCTTTAAAACTGAACTTTGAGCTGTATTGGCTGGACATGCTCTGAGGGTCCTTCCAGAGCTAACATCTGTGGCTGCAGAATGGAAAGACCCTTTCCTTTCATGCTTGCTCACATGTGTGCACTTGCTCACAATAATCTAAATGATGGGAAACTATTGTTCATGCCAACATTTTTGAAAATGGGAAAAATAAGTAACAGATATTCAGATGTAATTCTTCTTCTAGACATTTTTTTAAAAGCCAGACTAGTATGAAAATTTATGCAAATTTGAATATAAAAAAGAAAAACAACATCTTTAAATTTTTTCTCTTTCATTCTGTGGAAATAATTTATTTTAAAACTTCATGATATTTATCTGTCCATTTAAAACTGTGTTAATAGCTTATAAAACAATGGGTATGGTATGGCTGGAGCCAGCTTCTGCAGGCCCTCTGCCATGCCAGGCCAGGTGCCACGCCTCCAGGTGCAAGACCATGGGGTGGTCCAAGGGTCCCAGGGGAGAGGCCTGGGCAATGAAGAAGTGGTGGCACCGGTGGAGGCGCTCAGGACAGCTGCTGTTTACCGACCAGTAAAGGTACATTTCACTGTTTGAACAACTGGTACGATGGTACGAGCGTGAACCACCTGAAGACCAGCTCTACACTCTGCAACTCAGTGTTAGAACAAAGAATGCTTTACAGAAAGGAAAGTTGGAAAATACTTACCAAGCTAGTAATTTCACTATGCAAGTCTTGATAGGCCATGGAATGTTTCTCTTCTGGGTCAAATGTTTCTGATACTGTCACTGAAATCTTCCCAGGGAATACCTTTCCTGAAAGTTAAGCAGAATCTTTCTGTACTATTTGATGAAAAGAGGGTCATTTCCATTTTGTTTTAAAACATAGATTATTTTTTAGAATTCCCAACATTATATAACGACACTACAGGAAATCTGGAAATATTTTAAAAGTTACCCATCATCCTGCCCAACCTAGCACAACCATTTTAATTTTGGTATATTTCTTTCCATTTACAGTTTACATTGTTGTAATTCCAAGTTTATGCCATATTTTTTTTCTTCTTATTATATAATAGGTATTTTCCAAATCGTTGCCTAGTCTTTTTTTTTTTTTTTTTTTTTGAGAGAGAGAGACAGATAGGGTCTTGCTCTATCACCCAGGCTGGAGTGCAGTGGCACAACTGGGTCACTGCAGGCTTGAACTCCTGGGCTCAAGTGATCCTCCTGCCTTGGCCTCCCAAAGTGCTGGGATTACAGGTGTGAGCTCCTATGCCTGGTCTCATAACCATCATTTTTAAAGGTTGCATAATATTCTGTGAAGTACATGTCCCCTTCCTTGATGTAATCATTTTTTGTTATTGGACTTAGTGCTTTTAATTATTTAAAAGGAAAAGAAAAAGTTGCAATGAACATCTTCACACACAAACTGTTCTTCTGTATTTGGGGTCACTTACTTAGAGTAAATCCCCAGGAGTGAGATTATTAGTGCTAAAAATATGAGCATTTGGGGGCCTTTTGGTATATCCCTAACCCCAGTGGGCAATGCAATGCATTCATTTCTTATAGAATTGGCTGCTCTGGAAAATGAAGATATTTCTCATTCATAAAACAGAAAAAAAAAAAAAACAGAACTCAGACAGTCAGCCCTCAGACCTTCACTGCACCCTGGTGATCTAATCAAAACATCATTATGCCACAAGTGTATAAATGTACTCCTGAAATCCATTTTTAGAGCTGAAGGGCTCTTATGTCTCTAAGAGGGGGATCTGATGTTATGGAGCAAACAAATCTTGTGACACAGAACTGAAGATCAGGCTCCCAGGGTTGCTGGACTGTGTGGTCTTTGATAGATCACCTTGTTCTGCCTCAGTGTCCCTAGGTAACAGCACTTTTCTCTACTTTGCTGGCCTTTGTTGCCTCTGCATTTTCTTTATCTCTCATATTTTGGAATCTCCTTTTGCCATCATTTTGAGTTTTCGATTCCACTTTTGGTGTGAGATACAGAGCTCAGCCATGGCTCATCCCTTGTAACTCACCTTTCTTACATGTAGAAGAGTTGTAGTAATACCCTTCTAAACACAGGCAAAAACTTGTATTATGCAGCTTAACACATAACGAATTATCTGCACAGGGATCATCTTGGCAAGGATTGCTGGGACCTTAGATGGAGTAGAAAGAGATTAGAAATCCAGAGAAATGACAATAAATAACAACTGGAAACGTATTTTTCCATCTTCATGCCTCCCCCCTGGGCCCTTTCCATTCCTTGCTTGTGTTACTCCACAGCACACTTTTGGAAGAGTTAAAAACAAATATTTGCTTGCTTAGGTCTCTAGAGAGTTTGTTTCTGAAATTCTAGAGCCAAGTATAATACTTGTCAATAGTAAAGATCAGAGATTAGTGTACAAGGGCTTGCCCAAAGAAAGAGAGATTGCAGTCTTCTGACTCCAAGGAGTCAGGAATCTTCAGATCTCAAAGTCCCTCCAGAACCTTGAAGCATGGTCCTCTAACACTAGGTGGGGCTCCCCAAAACATTCTAGATAAAACATCTTATTTTTAGAAAGGTATGAATAATTGTCATATAGGAAGAAACAGCCAAGAAGCTCCAAAAGAAACTAGATGTCACATTCTGTTAGGCATACCTAGGAGACATAGCCATAAAAACAGGAATGGGATAGTAAAGGAGAGAAATGTGGATTAACTCAGTGAAAATTCTAAGAGGCCATGAGAAGACATTCCAGCCTCTGGCTTTCTAAGTGGATCATCTGAATAAATGGTGAAAATAACACTGCAATGGGTTCTACACTGTGGGCTGAGACTCCCAGGCCAGGCAGGGTGTAGCATCTTTCTTTCTCTGGGGAACTGATGAGATCTGAGGAGGAGAGTTAGCTCAGTGGTCCAGTGGTGATCTGGGCTATGAGTTTTCTTCACTTCTGTCAAGTGGAATGATTCTGAGCTGTGATGTCAGAATAGCTTATGTGTTTGATAACCTTCAGAGCTGTCTTGAGAGTCTTACAAACCTATATGTAGAAACCACTGATTTCTTTAAAAGCTGTATGTAAGGTACAATGTGTATAACATGCTCTCTTTTGTGAATAAAAGAAGGGAAGGATTATACACAAGCAAATATTTGCTTATATTTGCATAGGTAATTTCAGGAGGGAGATACAAGGAATTGGGCACAGAAGTTGCCTCTGGGGAAGGAAACTGGGGGTCTGGGTCCTGGGGGTTTAGGATGAGAGGGAGATTTATTTTTTATTGTACATGATTTTGCCCTGTTTGAGCTGTTTTTTCCATAATTATAGGCCTAATTTACTTTTATTAAAAAATAAAAAGTAAAATAATGCTGGTGAGAATATGGGGCAATGGGAACTCTCATTCATTGGTGGGAATGCAAAATGACACAGCCACTTTGAGAGGAAAGTTTGGTGGTTTCTTACAAAAATAAACATACTCTTACGAGAAGATCTGAGAGTCACCCTCCTTGGTATTTAACCAAAGGTGTGGAAAATTTATGTCCACACAAAAGCCTGCACATCCATGTTAATATCAGCTTTGTTCATGAGTGCCACTACTTGGAAGCAACCAAGATACCGTTCAGTAGGTGAATGGATAAACAAACTGGTACATCTAGACAATGGAATATTATTCAGCACTAAAAAATGAGCTATCAAGCCATGAAAAGACATGGAGGAAATGCATGCTACTATGTAAAAGAAGCCAATCTCGAAAGGCTACATAATGTATGATTCCAACTATATGACTTTCTGGAAAAGGCAAAACTGTGGAGACAGTAAAAAGATCTGTGGTTGCCAGGAGTTAGAGGGGAGGATGAAAAGTGCAAAAGATATTTAGGGTTGTGATCCTATAATAGTGGATGCATGCCATTATACATTTATTTGTCCAAATTCATAAAATGCACAGCACCACGAGTGATCTCTAATGTAAACTATGGTCTGTAGGTGATAATGATGTGTCACTGGAGGTTTATCAATTGTAATAAACACACTGCTCTGGTGGGGGATGTTGATAATATATGTGTCAGGCCAGGGAGTATATGGGAAACCTCTGTACCTTTCTCTAAATCTTGCTGTGAGTCTAAAACTGCTCTAAAAATAAAGTTCATTAACATTATATTTTTGAGACAGGGCCTTGCTCTGTTGCCCAGCCTGGAGTGCACTGACACAATCTTGGCTGGCTGCAACCTCTGCCTCCCAGGCTTGAGTGATACTCCCACTTCAGCCTCCTGAGTAGCTGAGACTACAGGTGCATGCTACCACACCTGGCTAATTTTTGTATTTTTCTGTAGAGATGGGGTTTTGCCATGTTTCCCAGGCTGGTCTTGAACTCCTCAGCTCAAGCAATTCACCCACCTCAGCCTCCCAAAGTGCTGGGATTACAGGCGTGAGCCACCATGCTCGGCTTCCATTAACAATTTTTTAAAGAGAAAAAAAATAGACTATATGGGATAAAAGGAGGCATAGTTCAGTATCTTATAAACAAAAATAAGCGTCACCCCTCTGACAAAGTATGAACCAGTCTTCTAAATAAAATTAATGGCTTCTTTAAGAAAAGCCTCAGCCACCTTGCAAAGATGACTTGGGAAATCTTAAGGAAGAATGTGTCTCCTTCTGGAGACACCAGACAAACAACTCTGAGGTGCTTTCTCTTCAGCAACGAAGGACAGACTCATTAACTTGTTTCATGGCCAGGAATTGATTAAGTCACAGGATGTTACAGCCAGAAGAGATTTGGGGGGCTTTTTAGTTCAGTCTCGCCTTATTGCAGATCACTAAGTTGAAGCCAAGAGAGAAATGACTTGCCCCATGCCCCACAGTTTGTTCATGGTAGGGCCAGAACACAGGAAGATGGCCTGACTCTGAGGGAACACCTGGCGAAGCAGAAATGGCTTAGAAAACCTCTCTTTCCTGATCCCAGGACAGCTGTGTCCCATTGGATCCCGCCTTCAGAGTGGCCCCTCCAAACATGAAAGATTGGGGAAAGAGGTCTTAGATACAGCCTCTGGGGTCTACTTGCTTAACCATCTATTTCTTAAATCTATCAAAGAACATTGAGGAAGCTACCAGAAGTTAAGGGTAGGGAGACATCCACTTGATCTTTGACCCTGGGTGAGTCATGGCCCTCACTGGGTCCCAGATTTCCCATCTGAGAATGATAGGATTTATCTAGATTCTTTAGGCTCTAAAGTGTGACGATTCTTCTAGATCAAGGGCTGGCAAACTATGGTTCACGAGTCATATCTGACCAACCTTTTGTTTGTTAACTGTGGCTGCTTTCATGTTAAAATAGTAGAGTGCAGGAGTTACAACAGAGACCCCACATGGCCCACAAGGCCATTTAGCCTTTACTGATAAACGTAGTTGATTTCTGTTATAGGCTGAGCTTGGGGAAGTGAAGCAAATGGTTCCTGTTTCATTAACTTCTGCTTGAGGTCACTTGTCATCTCTTAGTGTTCCCAAAGCATCTGTCCTTTGGACAATGGCCCTGGTTATGCCTAGGATTGTTTGAACACTGCTGTTGTTTTGCTTTCTACCCCTCAGTCTCAAATTCTATGACTTGGCTCAAGTTCCACATTGTGATCAGCCACCATCTTACAAGGGTAGAACTGACTTCTTCCTTAGGTAGACCAGAGAGCTAGACCAGTGGTGCTGGACAGTCTGTGCTTATTTGGACCTGGTCTTCTCAGAGCAGCTGAAACTATTTCTAAAAATCCCCTAGGGAGAGGAAAGCTATAGAGCTACCTTTCACAAAGCCCAAGTTCATTAAAAAAAATACTGCACAGCTAGCAAATAACTTGAGGTAGGATGGGAGGGAAGGAAAGGAGAACAGAAGGAAACTGAGGATTTTAGGGCCTCTGCTGTCACTACATTGTGACACAGATTTCAAGCCCACAGTTCATTTCCAAAGAAACCTTGGGCCTCTTTAGACCCATTTTCCTACCCCACCAGAACATACCCACCTCCCTCCCTCCACAATTGTACTCTCCATCCTTGGGGAGTCTTTGAGGGAATTGTCCTTACCTGTGCTGTTTAGGGTGCTGGTCTCCAATAAAGCGGTGCCAGTGGGAGGCCCTGATGATTGATTGTCTTCTGTGGTGGGGGACATTTCATTGTTACTTTGTGTTTCAGAAGGAACCATTGTGATTAATCCATCATTTGGAGATGAAGCGGTGATTATGTCAGAGGTAGCTAATGAATTTACATTTGTGGTTGACTCACTGTCTGCAGCAGTAGGTATAGGAATTGTGGAGGAACTATGTGTACTAATTATGGGGGGAGCAGGTGTAGGAATTGTGGAGGAACTATGTGTACTAATTATGGGGGGAGCAGGTGAAGTAGCTGTTGGGAAAGAAGGTGTATTTGCTGTGGTGCTAGCAGTTTCAGGGAAATTAGTTTCAGTGGTATCAGCTGCAGCTACTGTAGGACCACTAGTCGCAGTTTCTGTGGTTGTTACAGCATCAGCTGAGTTGCCTTGGTTGGTGGCTGGAGGAACAAAGATACCAAGTTTGAGGAGACAGTACATTGAATAACTAATGGCAGTTACTTAATACTAAATCATATCCAACTCATTCTTTTTTTTTTTTTTTTAGAGGTAGGGTTTCCCCAAGTTGCCTAGATTGGTCATAAACCCCTGGGCTCAAGCAGTCCACCCTCCTTGGCCTCCCAAAGTGCTGAGATTATAGGTATGAAGTGCCATGCCCAGCCTCAACTCATTCTTTTCTGGAAAAATGAAAATATATGACTACATTAAAAATTAAAATACATGGTTATTTCTAAACACAAAAAACCCACAATAAATAACATTAAAAATTAAACAGACAAAACTGGAAAAAATGTTATTGAAAAATGTGACAAATAAAGAGTTAATGTTTATTTATTTATTTTAGGAATAAGGTCTTGCTCTGCCACCCAGGCTGGAGTGCAGTAGTGTGATCATAGTTCACTGCAGCCTTGAGCTCCTAGGCTCAAGCAATCCTCCCACCTCAGCCTCCCAAATAGCTAGGACTACAGTTGTAACACCTCCATGGCTGGCTAATTTTTTTGTGTGTTTTAGAGATGAGGGTCTCACTATGCTGGCTAGGCTGGTCTCTTAACTCCTGGCCTCAAATGATCCTCCTGCCTCAGCCTCCCAAAGTGCTGGGATTGCAGATGTGACCCACCAGTCCCGCAGAAGAGTTAATGTTTTTTAAGTTGAATACTAAGAAGTAATATTATTTATGCCTGTAGTCACGTAACTGTAGATCAGGGTTTAATATACTTCAGACCATTCTCAGTGAGGACAATTGAGAATGCCACAAGGTGGCGCAGTGACTACCCAGAAATGGACTACTTTTGTCTTTCTGCACTTTAAGGCAACTGTCCCATTTTTTCATTACCTTGATAGATTGAGGGAGGGAAAGGTTAGGGTTGGGTAATTTAAAGAATAATAAAATAAAAATACCTCATTAAGTGCTTATTATACTTCTTCCAAAATTTTATTCTAGTAGTGTTTTCCCATTCACAATTCTAGATACATTGACTAAGAGTAAGATGAATAAGTGATCTTTGCCCTCTGAGCTATGATGGATATCAAAGTCGCATTTTCACAACTTTTAGGAACCCCTGGACACATGGAGTAGTAAACTCTAGGGATCCAGTGATCCATTTTCTTCCCCCACTCTTTTATTTTATTTTTTTTTTTTAGAGACATGGTCTTGTTCTGTCACACATGCTGGAGTGCAGTGGTGCCATAATAGCTCACTGCAGCGCTGAAACTCCTGGGCTCAAGTGATCCTCCCACCTTGGCCGCCCAAGTGTTAGGATAACAGGTGTAAGCCACCTTGCCTGGCCCAGTGATAAGTTTTCTAGAACTTTTCCTTGTCTCTAAGAACTCTGACCTTGACAATAGGTTAAAAAAATTATTGAAAGAAAAAGGTTTAGTGAGGAAGCAATTTCTAAACCTTAGGGTGCAGAGAACTGCAGAATATGCTTCCTGATTCCCCGATGGGTCTATGAGCCCCTTGAGGGCAGAGCCTGATTCTTCACCTTGAAGAGGGCTTGGCTAACATAGCCATTCAGAAGTGTTGAAGAGATCAGCAATTGCTCTTCCTAGGTAAGAAATACATCAGCAACTGGCAATGTTGACTGCCAGTCTTCCTATTCCTGCCACTCAGGATAGTTCTCATCTATCAAGCACTGGCCCTGTGCCCGACTGTACCTGTGAAGTAGACATAAGTGCCCACATTTGACAGAAGAGCCCACCAATACTCAGAAGGGTTAAGGAATTTGCCCAGAGGCAAAGCCAGGTCTGTGAGATGACAATGTCCTAACTATCACTTGATTAAAGTTATGGGGAAGGCCATCCATTTAATGAAAAAGCCAAGACCCCCGAGGAACAAACACAAGAAAAGCAAATAGAGAAAATTGGGGATCAGAATGAAAGCGGTGGAAATAGAAGTGACCTCCACGGTGCCCTCTATCATCGGAGTAGCAGTGAGAGTGGCCAGGGGCTGGCTCTCGCTGTGGAAAACTCTGGACAGAAGAAAAGGACTTGGCAGACTGTGGGTGCAAACAACCCCAACCCCACCAGACCCTGAATTTCATGCTTTGGGAATATTCATTCTCGGCCGATGCCAAAGAACCAACATGTTTCTGTAGATGTGCATAAAACAAATTGGGACTTCTTGAGAGGTTTTTGCAGGTCTTTGGAATTATGACAAGGAGTTTTGGACTTGGTGGCTTGTTTATTTTGGTTTTAAATTTCTGTTCACTAGGGAGAATACATTTCAGAATGCTCAATTAGTTTTAATAAATGAGACACATTCCAAGCTGACAGCAATTCATTGCTGTGAATAGCTACGATTTTTTTTTAAACTAAAATACACTTGTGTGTGTCTATGTGTATATATGTGTTTTATCTGAGGGTTGTATAGATTTCAGGGAAGACAGCTTAGAGCTGATATCCCAGGCTTAAATTATCTAGTAAAAATACCCAAGAGGAACTGTAAAATAACCTATTTTGTTCAATCTATAGATAACAGAAATATATGAAGACATCTGTGCAGTAGAAATAACTTTAGTCTTTTTATTTCCTTAGGTCCTAAAGCTTCTAAATAACACAAGGATAGCACAACGTCCACAGAGGTACAAATCATAGGTTTCAATGGGAAAATATATGCCCTGACCTGGTTTCTTTCTGGGGAACACTCCATAATCACCACCCCTGTCCAGGGCACACCTATAACTGCTTTATTCAAAGCTAGCTGAAAGTCACAATCAAACGCCTTTCTCCCAGATCTGAATTCTTCATTATGATGAGATGTTGGTTCCCAAAGGCACTCATCAGATTCTGTGGAATAATGCAGTCCTAGTCTCTCAGAGAAAGCAAAAACAACCTGGGAAGTTTTGCCTGTTAAAGGCTCTTCAAATGTCACTGGCACATTTTTCATTTGTTTCAGTAAATGCTTGTGCGGGGGTTCTTGCAGTCAAGGTGCTATACAAGGCATAGGGGTGAGGAGGAACGTAAAGGTGTACAAGACACACTTCCTGCCCTTGGTTGCTCAGAATCTGAGATGGAACTCATGTTTGAAGTAGTGATTCCTTACACACACCTCCAAAATCCTTAACGTTACATTAAAAAGCAACTTTTTAAAAATTTTCAGGCCAGGAGCGGTGGCTCATGTCTGTAATCCCGGCACTTCGGGAGGCTGAGGTGGGTGGATCATGAGATCAAGAGATTGTGACCATCCTGGCCAACATGATGAAACCCTGTCTCTACTAAAAATACAAAAATTATCTGGGCATGGTGGCACACGCCTGTAGTCCCAACTACTTGGGAGGCTGAGACAGGAGAATTGGTTGAACCCAGGAGGCAGAGGTTGCAGCGAGCCAAGATCGTGACAACTGCACTCCAGCCTGGCAACAGAGCGAGACTCTGTCTCAAAAAAAAAAAAAAGCAACTTTTTAAAAATTTTCAGGCCAGGCGCGGTGGCTCATGCCTGTAATCCCAGCAGTTTGGGAGGCCGAGGCGGGCAGATCACCTGAGGTCAGGAGTTTGGGATCAGCCTGGCCAACATGATGAAACGCCATCTCTACCAAAAATGCAAAAATTAGCTGGGCGTGGTGGCAGGCACCTATAATCCCAGCCACTCGGGAAACTGAGGCAGGAGAATCACTTGAACCTGGGAGGCAGAGGTTGCAGTGAGCTGAGATAGTGCCATTGCACTCCAGCCTGGGCGACAAGAGCAAAACTCCATCTCAAAAAGTAATATAAGGCCAGGCGCGGTGGCTCACGCCTGTAATCCCAGAACTTTGGGAGGCCAAGGCGGGCGGATCATGAGGTCAGGAGTTCGAGAACAGCCTGGCCAATGTAGTGAAACCCCGTCTCTACTAAAAATACAAAAAAATTAGCCAGGTGTGGTAGTGAGCACCTGTAATCCCAGCTACTTGGGAAGCTGAGGCAGGAGAATTGCTTGAACCTGGCAGGCGGAGGTTGCAGTGAGCCAAGATGGCGCCATTGCACTCCAGCCTGGGCAACAAGAACAAAACTCTGTCTCAAAATAAATAAATAAATAATAAAATAAATATTTTTTTCAAAAGCAAACCTTAGTAGCCACAAAACTGTCAGTATTAATATATCTGGAGGTAGATGGGTGGGAAGTCAGATTGGATGCTCAATTTTTATTTCATATACATCTGTATTGTTTGGATTTGTTACAGTGGGTCTGCATTACTTGTATAACTTTTTTAAACAAAGAAGAGGAAATCAAAACCAAAGTTTGAAAATCAGATCCAGGCTGGGCGTGGTGGCTCACGCCTGTAATCCCAGCACTTTGGGAGGCCAAGGCAGGTGGATCTCCTGAGGTCAAGAGTCTGAGACCAGCCTAGCCAACATGGTGAAACCCCATCTCTACTAAAAATACAAAAATTAGCCAGGTGTGGTGGCAGGTGCCTGTAATCCCAGCTAGTCTGGAGGCTGAGGCAGGAGAATCGCTTGAACCTGGGAGGCGGAGGTTGCAGTAAGCAGAGATCGTGCCATTGCACTCCAGCCTGGGCGACAAGAGTGAAACTCGGTCTCAAAAAAAAAAAAAGAAAGAAAGAAAAGAAAATCAGATCCAAGTGCAGACATGACAAAAAGGGAAATCATTTATTAAGCCCCTATGTGCCAGGCAGTATCCCGGCACATCAGGCTCTTTGTCTCATTTAATCCTCTCAGTCACTCTTCAGTATAGGGATTTCCCCTCTATTGCTACACAGGAAGACACTGAGGGTCAGAGACACCCCACAGCTAATAAGTGGTGGCATGCCATCTGAATCCCTGCTTGCCCTACTTTTGCCCTTCCCCCTGGGTTCTCTGGGTCAAGAAACATCTCCATTCCCCTAAGGTCCCTTGAGCCTCAATGATTCCTGATTCCCTTAACTCTCTATTCATCTCCTTGTCCCCTCCCAGCCAACTTTCCCCTTTCTACCGCCCTTCTATTCTATTTTTAAAAAGTCAAGCCTTTTTTAACAGTGGCTCCTGAAAGTCATACAAGCCTCACCAATTCTTCCTTTGTCCTGAAGGCTTGGACCTAGCATCTGCCCCCAAGGTTGGCAGGAGAGATCTGGTGAGCCCTCCCCTCCTGTGCAGCTAGCCTTCTCCAACCTTCCAGCATTAAGAGCTTGAAACCAGCTCTCAAAAAACTCTAATCCTGATGCCATTCATTCCAGTTCTCTGAAAGGGCTTAATTTCTCTTCATACATCTGCCTTATCAAATACTTTCTTCCTTTCTGCAAGCAGCTTCTAGATTTCAACTCATTGAACCTGAAGGAAATAAAAATATTTCACCCCCAAATATAGCTCCATGATATAATGAGTATTTTAAATTAAAAACTCTTAGAGGTCAACAAGCGCTGTAAGGACTGATCCACCAAAGAAGAACTATTGCTCCTGTTCCCCTCCCTGTTATGTCATTATCCACTACAGGAAAGAAGACCGAGAAGGAAACCACCCCTGAGCTGACCCTTCATCAAGATAAGGACTGTCTCCAAGGATCTTTAAATTCCAAGGAGAATTATCTACAAGTTCATTTTTGTTCCCAGATCCAATTATTCTCCCTAATAATCATTTATTGCCCCTCAACAGAATTCCTCTTCTCCCTTCTTCCATAACTTGTTTTACCAAGATCCAAGCCCCCTTTCTTTCTGTAACCTCAAGATGGTGTATAAGCTTCTATACCTCATCAGGAAGTTGGGTGTTCATGCTGAAGGTTCCTGGGTACACACATTAAATACAGTTGTATGCCTTTTTTCCTATTAGTCCATCTACTTCATGCCAGTGATTTTTCTGCAAAATTTTAGGAAGCCAATTGGCCTCCACAACCCTCACCTCTCAACATACTGCTGACCTCACCCACATGTGGCCCATAGAACCCTTCCTAACTCAGAACAGAGAGTACATGTCTGAAGTCTAATCAACGTGACAATTACTCCCTATGGTTTAGCATTCTCAAATTCAAGTACATTTGTGAAAGGAGGCTTTTTGCTGTGGTCAGCTCTCTGATTATCATGAGAGGGGATCCAGAACGCTATAGTAGAGAACTGGGTCCTTGCAACCTACTTAGTCCTTCTTATCTGGCCTCAGGAACTCTCAAAGAGAAACCTCTGGTTTGCTGAGCCCCCAGATCTCACTCCATAGACCACTTCTTCCCCCCACCCCTACAAGATGGAGTCTCGCTCTGTCACTCCGTGTCATCTCAGCTCACTGCAACCTCCACTTCCCGAGTTCAAGCGATTCTTTCTGCCTCAGCCTCCTGAGTAGCTGAGACTACAGGTGCCCACCGCCACACCTGGCTAATTTTTTTGTATTTTTAGTAGAGATGGAGTTTCACCATGTTGGCCAGGGTGGTTTCAAACTCCTGACCTCAAGTGATCCATCTGCCTCGGCCTCCCATATTGCTGAGATTACAGGCGTGAGCCACCGCGCCCAGCCCACAGACCACTTTTGCTATTGCTCTATCTTCCCCATCACAGGATAAAATGTCTGTGTCTTTGAGCTGAGCTGGAGAGGAAACTTCATTTATAAAATAGACCATGTGCTGGGCTGGGAGAATTGGTAGCTATAGGCCTGCTGATTCTACCTCAAAGACAACATACATGATTGGAAGAATTAAAATGTAAAAATATTCCTTACCTGTGTTTACAGAAAGGAGAGCAAGAAGAGTAAGATGAATGATGGCTTTCATTTTAGCTGTTCTTGCTTGGTAATCTGAGGAGGAAATGATTTCCCTTCCTGGCTACCTTTCGTTTTAACTGTCTTTCGGGTACAAAGTCCAGTCATTAATTGACGTCAAACCACAGAAAGGCAATTATAGCTAGCATTTGGCCAAATACCATAGATCTCTTCCGAGCTTTTGAGATAGAAGAGGTGGAGCTGGCCTTACGAATCATTTTTCTGACTCAAAGCCCAAAATAAGTCAGGACATTCCAAATATCCTTGTGAGGTTGGTGGCACATGAGTTTGGTTAATCTCTTGATATCTCAAATGTCTCCAAGCCGCCATCTTTTAGGAGGTCACCATTCCATTAAACATTCAATAACAAACTGTGCTCTACTCACCCACATATGAGTGCAGGAAACCACTTTCCTCCAGCTGTAGTTCTGAGAATCCCTGAAGAGGACTTACATGTTTCCCAAAATTATTAGTTGCTTAACTTTTGTCACTGTATGCTGGGGACTACCATTCCGGGCCTCTCTGATGGTCATGTCTAGCAACTTTGTAATCACATCTCCAAGCTTCTGTGACTCTACCTGGATACAGCCCCCAATAAAGTTCCCAAGCACAATGGACATCACATCATGGCATTTAACCTAACTTTACTGAAGTCTTGTGGGTGACTGGTGTGTTGGGGAGTTGGCAATAAAGTACAGAAAAGAGAAAACTTAGAACAGCTGATTTGATCTCTCTGCTCCTGGCCACTCATTGGGCAGGCCCCACTTCTCAGTTCCCTTTCTCACCCTCTCTCTAGTTCCTCAGCCCCTCACCTCTCACCATGTGTCAGGAACCAGCTTTACTGCTTGGATTTGGGTCTTCTTAATCTAATTTTCCCTCCTTAAAGTCCAGGGCCCCAACTCTACTGTGTCTAGCCCCAGCCAGAGGAATATAAACTAATGATACCTTGTGAGTTGTGGCTAGAGTTTTGAGTTTAAGTTTTTTTTTTTTTTTTTTTTTTTTTTTGAGACAGAGTCTCACTCTGTCGCCCAGGCTGAAGTGCAGTGGCACGATCTCAGCTCACTGCAACCTCTGCCTCCAGGGCTCAAGTGATCCTCCTGCCTCAGTCACCCAAGTAGCTGGGATTACAGGCATACACCACAATGCTTGGCTGATTTTTGTATTTTCAGAAGAGATGGGGTTTTGTCATGTTGTCCAGGCTGGTCTCAAACTCTTAGACTCAAGCAATCCCCAACCACAGCCTCCCAAAGTGCTGTGATTACAAGCGTGTGCCACCATACCTGGCCTTTGGGTTTAAATTTTAACCCTGACCTTGATGAAAACAAAACATTTTTGTATGATCGCCCAGCAGATAAGCTGCTTATTGTCCTAGAGTCTCCATTCAAGAATAAGACAGGGGTTTGTTCTTACATGGCTGAGAGGTCCATTTAAACACTTTTTCCAAAGCAAAGACACTTCTAAGGCCCATTATGTTATGCTATTATTCTCAGCTTGAATAACTCCTGGCATCAGGATTTAAACAAAGGCTTGTTTTTCTTTTCTTTTTAAACTAGCTTTATTGAGCTATAATTTATGTCAATAAACTGTATCTATTTACAGTGTACAGTTCAACGAATTTTGATTGATGTATATACATGTGTAGCTACCGTTGCAACCAAGATACCGAGCATTCCCAACACACCCTTTGGGACTTTCCTCTTGTCCCTTTTTAGTGCTACATCCCCTATACTCCACCCCAACCCCAGGTAACCATTGATCTGCTTTCTGTCTCTATAAATTAGTCTGCATTTTCTAGCATTTTATGTAAATGGAATCATACAGATGTAGTTTTTTGTTTTGTTTTGTTTTTTGAGCCAGTTTCTTTCACTTATAACCATTTTGAGACTCATCCTTGCTGTGTGAATTCATAGTTTGTTTCTTCTTATATCTGAACACTATTCCACTGTATCAATGTACCATGGCGTGTTTGGTAATTCATCTGTCGATGGACATTTGAGTTGTTTCTAGTTTTGACTATTACAAACAAAAAGATTATAAATAAGGCCAGGTGTGGTGGTTCATACCTGTAATCCCAGCACTTTGGGAAGCTGAGGCAGGTGGATCACCTGAGATCAGGAGCTGGAGATCAGCCTGGCCAATGTGGCGAAACCTCATCTGTACTAAAAATACAAAAATTAGCCAGGCATGGTGGCAGGCACCTGTAACCCCAGCTACTCAGGAGGTTGAGGCAGGAGAATCCCTTGAACCCCGGAAGTATTATTTGCAGTGAGCCAAGATCACGTCACTGCACTCCAGCCTGGGCAACAGAGCGGGACTTCATCTCGAGAAAAAAAAAAAAGTTATAAGTATTCATGTACAAGTTTTTGTATGAACATACACTTTCATTTCTTTAGGGTAAATATTTAGAATGGAATGGCTGCATCACATGGTAGCTATATAACTTTTTAATAAATGGTCAAATGGTTTTCCTAAGTTGTTATGCCATTTTACATCAGCAATATATGAGAATTCCAGTTGTTCCCTATCCTTGCCAACACTTGGTATTGTCCGTCTTTATATTAGCTACCCTAAAGGGTATGTAGTGGCATCTCACTTTTGTTTTAATTTGCATCTCCTGATGACAAATGATGTTGAACATCATTTTATGTGCATATTAGTCACTCGTGTCTCTTCTTTTGTAAAGTACCTGTTCAAATAATTTGCACATTGTATCGTTGAATTGGTTTTCTTCTTGGTTTTTAATGGTAAAAGTTCTTTACATATGTATTGCAAATCTTTTCTCCTTTTCTGTCATTTTTATATGGCATTTTAAACTTACTATATTCACTTTATAAAAGCCTAACCAGGAATCTAGAAAAATTGAAAAAGTGGCCTGGGGTCACATAAGTAGCTGCAGGATCTCAAATGCAGGGTCTCAAATCCTGTCTCCTAAACTGGGAGAAGCCTATCACACCCCATCATGTCTTAGATTCAAGATATCAAGTGAGTAGCGCCCACAGTGCTCTATCACTAATGTCTACTGATGCCACCATATTACAACAGTGTCAATATTTCCATGGTTTTCTATATTACTTATCTGCTGAGCATAGAATGAAAAGTATAACCAGGAAGGCATGGAGTACTGCCAAGCATCTGGCTCCCTGACTCTTCCCTGGCCTTATCATCTGGAAAAATATGGGCAGCCAGAAAGTCAGGCAGTCCTCAAAGTATAAATCAGCAATCACCGGTATGCCCGCTCCTAAAGCATCCACACAGGACTTCAGTACTGCAGGATGACAGAGACAATACACAGAGCTTTCATGAGGGAAACTTCTTCTTCCTCAGGGCTGATGTTTCCTCACTAATGGAGGGAGTTTAATTCCTGAAACACTCCTGGCCTCTTGGCATGTCTTTATTCATTTTGCCCTAAAGGAAGAGTAGTGACTTATTTCAGAATAAACTGGGAATACTCACCTCAGATCCTGCAGTTTCCATTTGGGGAGATAACCTGGATTCAGGATTGTTGTGCCCAAGAAGGTAAGGATCCAGAAGGAGGGAGCCCTAAGCCACATTCTCAAAAATAAGCTTCTATAAAAGTAATATTTTGTCTCCATCTGTTGTACTCTGTGTTTTACTTCTCACAGAACTCAAAACCTGGATAGGAAAAAGGGTTGATATTTATTAGTATGAAATGGCTAAATTCTAAGTATTTATCTATAAGTCAAGAACACAGACTCCATTTTCCCACAGAAACAATGTTATATGTTGGTAACGTTGTCACCAAGTCAGCTAAAAAAAAAAAGCTGTTTACCCATAATTACCTGGTTGCAAAAGAACTATTGTTCAGGGTGAGCTTTTCAATAATTCTATTGACTATGCAGAGGAATGGGACATGCCCATTAATCTAAAGCAATATCCAGTTATTTAGGCATAAACTCAAGAGAGCTATATCAGAGCCATTTAGAATTAGAATTTGATCCATCAAGAGCCTCTCTAGCCAGGTGAGGTGGCTCACATCTGTAATCCCAGCACTTTGGGAGGCCAAAGTGGGAGGGTTGCTTGAGCCCAGGAGTTTGAGACCAGCCTAAGCAATATAGTGAGACCTTGTCTCTACAAAACAATTTTAAAATAATTATCTTAACATGGTAATGCATGCCTGTAGTACCAGATACTTGGGAGGCTGAGGCAGGAGGATCCCTTGAACCCTGGAGGCGGAGGTTGCAGTGATCCGAGATTGCACTGCTGCACCACGGCATGGGCGAGAGAGCGAGACCCTGTCTCAAACAAAAGAGCTCCTCTTTGGCTACTTTGATTCTGCAACACTGCAGTACCATGATAAGGCTCTAGAGGATCATTAAAACATAAAATTCTATCAAGATTAAATAGTTAGACCCAAAGATTATTTTCTGTCTATAGAACCAAATGTAAATACATGTTAAGCTCCTATCTCCTTCTCACTAATTCCAGCCCCTCAATAGAGGTGTGAGTATAGCCTTCCCAGAGTCACTACTACCATTTACGGATATCACATTTAGATACTACATGAAGCTGATCAGCATTTTCCTCTCTAATTCAGAAGACCATTCCCAGAGAAATGACTTGTGGAATGCAATATTCCCAACTCAAATGTCTAATTGATGACACATTGACAGAACCATTTCCACTCTTGCTTTTTATACCCTCTGAAATTAACTTTTCAGTGAATGGTTGCTTTACATGAGTAATGTTCAGGAGGGGGCTGTTCAGTCACTCCCAGGTACTCGAGGCATCTCTGCACATCCATCAGGTATCGAAGATGAAGCAGTGAACAAGATGATGAAGGTCTCTGCTCTCCTGAAGCTTCTGTGAGATCATGGGTAGTGGAGGTCGGCAAAAAAAGTAATTAAATACAATGATTTTAGAGAGTGGTCAATGCTCTGAAGAAAATAAAACACAACAATGGGATAGTGACTTGTGGGGTATGAGGTGCTACTTTAAATAGGATGGTCAGCAAAACCTTCTTGCAGGAGCTGATATCGGAACTGAGAGCTGCTATTGAAGGGAAGCCTGCCATATAAACATCAGAAAAAGGGCATTCCAGCTAGAAAAGTAGTAAGTGCAAAGGCCTGAGGCCAGAACAAGTCTGGTGTGTTTGAAGAGCACCATGATTTAGGAGGAGACTGGGGGGAGATGTTGTCAGAGAGGCAGGCTGGGGCCTGATCCTACAGGATCTTAGAGGCTGTGGAAAGGAATGTGGATTTTATTCTAAGCACAATGGCAGAAGCCATGGGAACATTTAAGCAGGAGAACGACAGGCCAGATCTTCCTTGGGGGCCTTATCTAAAGGAGCTGGTCTACTCGCCTGACCATCCCACCTCAGTTCGTTTCCTCCATAGCCCTCATCACAATATGTAATTACTTTGTCTCTTTGCTGGTTTAGCTACCTGTTGCCTAACTTCCATGAGAGTTTCTCTTCCCTGTCCACTCCTCTGTCTCCAGCATCCAGAACAGCTGGCACATGGCAGGTGCTCAGTAAAGATTTATGGAAGAAAGGAAGGAATGAATGAAGGCCGTCCGATTTGTTCTAGGTGCAGGGAACAGGGAATGCAAAGAAATAAGACACAGTTTGGGGTCTTCAGACCCACAGTGCATTCAGACAATTTATCTTCCAAAAGTTGGTTGTCATGATCAAATTATTCAAAAGAGAAAATATTATTAGTAAGTAAATATGTGGGGGAAGAATATTTAGCTTTTTACTCATCTTTTTTTGTTTGTTTGTTTGTTTTGAGAGGGAGTCTCGCTTTGTCACCCAGGCTGGAGTGCAGTGGCGCAATCTCGGCTCACTGCAAGCTCCGCCTCCTGGGTTCATGCCATTCTCCTGCCTCAGCCTCTCGAGTAGCTGGGATTACAGGCGCCCGCCACCACACCTGGCTAATTTTTTTATTTTTATTTTTTAGTAGAGATGGGGTTTCACCGTGTTAGCCAGGATGGTCTCAATGTCCTGACCTCGTGATCCACCCGCCTCGGCCTCCCAAAGCGCTGGGATCATAGGTGTGAGCCACTGTGCCCGGCCTTTACTCATCTTAAAGATGTTACAACTAAAACAAAAGTGAGATTATATTTTACCTCTTTTTTTTTATTTTAATTTTTTTTTTTTTGAGATGGAGTCTCACTGTGCCACCCAGGCTAGTGTGCAGTGGCATGATCTCTGCTCACTGCAACCTCCACCTACCAGGTTCAAGCAATTCTCCTGCCTCAGCCTACTGAGTAGCTGGGATTACAGGTGCACACCACCCCACCTGGCTAATTTTTGTATTTTTAGTAGAGATGGGTTTCACCAAATTGGCCAGGTTGGTCTCGAACTCCTGACCTCTAGTGACCCACCTGCCTCGGCCTCCCAAAGTGCTGGGATTACAGGTGTGAGCCACCACACTGGTGTAATATTTTACATCTTTTAAAAATGTGTACAATGATATATCCAACTCTGGTGGGGGTGCAAATAATTCAATATGCTTTACAATTGCTACGTTGTAATATGCTACAATTTGGCAACAGGTATTAAGAGCAATTTAAAAATGTTCTTGGCTGGGCATGATTTTGAGAGGCCAGTGTGGGAGGATCACTTAAGTCCATGAGTTTGAGACCAGCCTGGGCAATACAGTGAGACACCATCTCTACAAAAAATTAAAAAATTAGTCGAGCATGGTGTTGCATGCCTGTGGTCCCAGCTACTCAGGAGGCTGTGGTGGGAGGATTGCTTGAGCCTCATGAGCCGGTGGGAGGAGGTTGAGGCTGCAGTGAGCTGTGATTGTGCCATTGCACTGTAGCCTGGGTGACAGAGCCAGACCCTGTCTTAAAAAACAAACAAACAAACAAACAAAAAAGTTTTTACCCTGTGACTGAGAAATTTACTTCTGGAACTTTATCTTAAATAATTTCTTCAAAAAAATCTTTTTTTTAAGTTTTGTAGAGACGGGGGTCTTGAACTCTGGCCTCAAGCAATCTTCCTGCCTCGGCTTCCCGAAGTGCTGGGATTACAGGCGTGAGCCACAGTGCCTGGTCAAGGAATAATTTCAAATGAAGGGAAAATTATATGTACAGATATGTTTGCTGCAGTATTACATATATACAGTATAAATAATTGAAAACAACCTTACCCAACAACAGAGGTTTAAATGTGGTGACCACCCTTGATGAGAGGTAGGACTCTATCCACACACGGTACGATGCAGAAGACCGCAGCCGTGAGGGGAAGTGCTTATGGGGAAGTGCTTATTCTACTACAATAGAAGTTGAAGAGGCAGGATTCTCATTATATCTCTAATTATGTAAAAACCATGCCTCCATAATTTGCCTCCATAAAGATAAGCGCTGGCAGGAAACACGAACACATGAAAATGACTTGCTTTGTTGGGTGGCAGGACGGCGGTCGAGCACTCTCATGGCGACTTCCACTTCTTACACCCACGATGTAATGGGCTCAGAGAAAGGGTCAAGTACGAATGTATAGATTTTCTTTTTCTTTGAGAGACAGGGTCTCACTCTGTCGCCCAGGCTGCAGTGCAGTGGTGCAATCTCTGCTCACTGCAACCTCCGCCTAATCCTCCCACCTCAGACTTCCAAGTAGCTGGGACTACAGGCGTTGCAACCATCACGCCTGCCTAAATTTTGTATTTTTAATAGAGATGGGGTCTTACTATGTTGCCCAGGCTTGTCTTGAGCTCCTTAGCTCAAGGAGTCTGCCCGCCTTGGCCTCCCAAAGTGTTGGGATTACAGACGAGAGCCGCTGCGCCGAGCCATGTGTTTAACCACTGGAGATGTGTTCCAAAACACCTTGACCTTCAAAAGGAGCAGGCATTGGCTTTTTGAGTCTTGGCTTATAAAATTTCACAATTGCTTATCTACTCACCTCACTGAGTTTAGTCAGCTCTAAAAATAAATTTCACATCATGAGAGATTTTGTGGGCTTCTTATTTTGTTATTTTATTTCATTTTATTATCTTTTGGAATGAAACTCTTGGAGAAGTTCTATAAAGAGATTTTCCCCAGGAAGGAGTTTGATTTCTCACCCACTTCCTCCTCTACTCACCCATCAAGACTATGGGAGGTTTGACTGAGATCAGAAAGCTCTTGCGGTGGCCACAAATTGTAATTCAGATCTCTTCAGAGAGGAAGCGAGTGGTTCCAGAGATTAAAACATTGTCCTCAGAGATGCTAGCACCAGGCCTGGACTTGTTGCTCTGAGGAAAACTGAAAACAATGGGTGGGAGTAGGTTTGCCCCTCTTTGGGGTTTGTACCTCTCAGCCTTACCCAGTCCAGTTATTCCTAAAATGAGAGATGATACAACTAGGGCATCAGTCCTCAAAAATGTGTTCCCCAGACCAGCAGCACCAGCATGACCTGGAAACATTTTAGAAATGCATATTCTCAGGCCCCACCTAGGCCTACTGAATCAGCAATCTGTGTTTGTTTGTTTGTTTGTTTGTTTTGTTTTGAGATGGAGTTTCACTCTTGTTGCCCAGGATGGAGTGCAATGGCATGATCTCAGCTCACTGCAACCTCGGCCTCCCAGGTTCAAGTGATTCTCCTGCCTCAGCCTCCTGAGTAGCTGGGATTACAGGCATGTGCCACCACACCTGGATAATTTTTGTATTTTTAGTGTGACTCTGCTGGTGCTCAGCTCTGAGGACCACTGCCTTCGTGGCACACAAGATGATTTTAAGTGTCCATGGACACAGCGTTAGATAACAGTGATTCACTTGGAGGGGAAAGTTATGCCTTTTCAAATTTCAGTCATTCTGATTACACAATGAGAAAATCTCATGTATTGCTAAGATATCTTTAACTCTTCTCTAATAATTACATATTTCTCTTTGTGAGGAAGAGAGCTCAGGCCCCAGACACAGAGCCTTTGGCAACCAAACTCCTGGTAATCTAATAACACTTTATTTTTGTTTATGTTTCTTATGGCTATTTTCTATCCATGGCAAAGGAAACTAGTTTTTTTTTCTTCTAAATTTGGGGTGGTGATGTAAAGTTAATTTGCTTTTATTTATTTATCTATTTTCTGGAGACAGGGCCTTGCTCTATCACCCAAGCTGGAGAACAGTGGCACCGTCACAGCTCACTGCAGCCTCAAACTGCTGGGCTCAAGTGAGCCTCCCGCCTCAGCCTCCTGAGTAGCTGGAACTACAGGCATGTACCACCATGCTTGGCTAAATCAGAAAAAAATTTTTTTTTTTTTCATAGAGACAGGGTCTCAGCATCTTGCCCAAGCTCGTCTCAAACTCCTAGGCTCAAGTGATCCTCCATCTTGGCCTCCCAAAGCGCTGAGATTACAGGTGTGAACCACCACACCAAGCTGTAAAGTTTATTTTAAAATTAAGTTTGGCCTGGCACATTGGCTCATGACTATAATCCCAGAGCTTTGGAAGACCAGTGCAGGAGGATCACTTGAGGCCAGGAGTTTGAGACCAGCCTGGGCAAGATGGTGAGACCCCCATCTCTACAAAAAAGGTTATAAAAATTAGCCAAGCATGGTGGCACATGCCTGTAGTTCCAGTTACTCAGGAGTCTGAAGCAGTAGGGTCGCTTGAACCCAGGAGTTCAAGGCTGAGGCTGCAGTGAGCTATATCGTGCCACTGCACTCCAGCCTAGGTGACAGAGCCAGACAATGTCTCAAAAAAAAAAAAAGAAAAAGAAAAAGAAAATTCAGTTAATTATTTTTTTAAAAAAGGTCAATTTCAACAAAAATATGTAAGAAAGTGTAGTGATAATACATGATTTGTCAAAAATCATGAGGGAGGTACAAAACCGACAGGTTTGGAAAACACTGTGCTAGGGCACACCGTAGGGTGAATGGCAAGGAAGAGGGCCTTCGAAAGTGTGAGAGCAGAGAAGCAAACAGGTGAGTTAACTAAAAAAGAAATACACATTTTCTACCACATGAAAAATGTCACAACATGCTAATAAAAGAGAAAATTGAACAATGCCAGAGCTAGAGCTAAACTTATCAACTTTAATGCAATAGGAACCCATTCCTGGAAAGTCTCTCCGTGTAGCTGACAGTTCCGGGAGAACATAATGACATTTAGACAGACATGCAAAGCTTGAACTCAACTCACAACTATCTCCATAATCTTTAACTACACGTTCTATTTTATTGTTGTTGCTCCAAGTCACCTTTGCCAGAGGAAATCTTTGATTTGACTTTCTCAGAAACCTTTTACTTGATGGCAAATTTGCCTTTGACACATACTCATAAGCAATTTCCTAGAGATTGCTTTAGCCCTGGGAACCAATTAGATACCATGATGTTGAGGTTATTTAACTGGCAAAGATGAAGAGAATGGCAATGGTTGCTGTTGGCAATGATGTGTGGGAAACAGGCCTCAAACACAGCAGTAGGGAAGGTATTTAAACAGCCTTTGGAGGAGGGAAATTCAGCAATATGTATCACAGACCTTTAAAATGGATCTATCTCTTGATCAAGCAATTCCATTCTAGGAATTTATCCCAAGGAAATAGCCAGACATATGCTCAAATACATTTGTATAAATATATCATTATTTTTGTATTTTTTTGTGTTTTTTTGTTTTGTTTTGAGATGGAGTTTCGCTCTTGTTGCCCAGGCTGGAGTGCAGTGGCGTGATCTCAGCTCACCGCAACCTCCGCCTCCCGGGTTCAAGAAATTCTCCTGCCTCAGCCTCCCGAGTAGCTGGGATTACAGGCATGTGCCACCACACCCAGCTGATTTTGTATTTTTAGTAGAGACGGGGTTTCTCCATGTTGGTCAGGCTGGTCTCGAACTCCCAACCTCAGGTGATCCGCCCGCCTTGGCCTCTCAAAGTGTTGGGATTACAGGCGTGAGCCACCGCACCCGGTCTCATTATTGTTTTTCAAAGAAAAAAATTTAGTTTTTTTTTTTTTCAGAGATAAGGTCTCACCATGTTGCCCAGGCAGGTCTCAAACTCCTGGGCTCAAGTGATCCTCTTGCCTCAGCCTCCCAAAGTGCTGGGATTACAAGTGTGAGCCACCACACCCAGTAAAACTATATAAATGTCTAAAAGTTGTGGCTTGGTCAAGACAAATTTGGTGAGTTCATGAGAAGGGTCTTGTGTAGCCATTAAAACTCAGCTTATAGTTGATAACAAAGGAAACTTGCAACAATATGTTGAATTTAGGGTTTTTCCTTCATTCACCAAATACTTGAGAGTACCATGAGCACTATCAGGGACAGACACTGTTCTAGGCTCTGGAGATACAGCAATGAACTAGAGCCATCATTTCTGCAGCAAGAACTGTGCAGAGTACTTTTATAAAGGACACATTCAGGATATGGTGGGAGCATGTTTAACAGGAAAACCTCACCTTGAAACATTGTGATGTTCACCCAGTAAGAACAATACCCAGCAGGGGTAGG
This sequence comes from Homo sapiens, assembly GCF_000001405.40. Lineage (NCBI taxonomy): Eukaryota > Metazoa > Chordata > Mammalia > Primates > Hominidae > Homo > Homo sapiens. The sequence goes on from NC_000003.12 coordinate 124,946,081, forward strand.
CATACAGTAGGCACTCAATAAATAGCCCTTGATTGAGTTTCTTTAGGGGCAAATATCCCAATCTCAGCACTACCCTGGTTAGCAGCTGCCATGCAGGTCAGGACCAGAAACCACCCTTCCCTCTGAGCTCCTGCCCTGATGCTGGGCCTGACTCCCTCATGAGGCTCCTTTCTTTACAGCAACTCCTCTCCAGAGGTCCTGGTTTCTCCTTTGCAATTTAGCCTTGGTCAGTGTTTGCATTTGTCTTAATACTGTTTGCAGAATTCAAGTCACCTCCCTTCGTCAGAAAGATCCTTTAGGGTCTCTATAAATCACTAGAAGGAGGGTGAGAGGTAAGAGGTGAGGCTGGGGCAATACTGTCTATGGAACTCTCCAGAAGGGATCACATCCTAATGCCTGCTGCGTAAATAACCTGCCCTGCAAATATTTACAGTGCCTTGAAAAATATCTCCATATTGCCAATAATGGCTTCTTAGAGGGTGACATAATATGTGGGTTTGTGAATTGAAAAACTAATTATTGGCCGGGCGTGGTAACTCACGCCTGTAATCCCAACACTTTGGGAGGCCAAGGCAGGTGGATCACTTGAGGCCAGGAGTTCGAGACCAACCTGGCCAACATGGCAAAACGCCATCTAAAAAAAAAGGAAAAGGAAAAGAAAGAACGAAGGAAAGAACGAAAGAAAGAAGGAAAGAAAGAAAGAAAAAGAAAGAAAGAAAGAAAGAAAAAGAAAGAAAGAAAGAAAGAAAGAGAAAGAAAGAAAGAAAGACTGGGCAGATGTGGTGGCACATGGCTGTAATCCCAGTTTCTTGGGAGGCTGAAGCACGAGAATCACTTGAACTCAGGAGGTGGAGGTTGCAGTGAGCCGAGATCGCGCCACAGCATTTCAGCCTGAAGGACAAAGTGAGACTCTGCCAAAAAAAAAAAAAAAAAAAAAAAAAAAAACAGAAAAAGAAAATAAAAACTAGTTACCAATAGGACGTAATCTCTGGGATTCTTTCCTACCTTGAAAAAAACTTACATTTTCAATGGAAATAACCTGAAGTTCTTACAGAGCTGAGCTCCTAGGGTGGTGTCCTCACATGGACCAAGCATGGAGTAGTATGAATGATTGCTTTCCCCATTGCCCCAACTTGGAGAATTAAGAGTGAGCTGGATACCATTTCATAGTCGCTAGAATAACCATCAACAAAAAAGGTAATTGCAAGTGTTGGTGGGTACGTGGAGAAATTGGAACTGTGATACACTGCTAGTGAGAATGTAAAATGGTGCAGCCAATCTGGAAAATAGTATGACAATTCCTCAAAAAGTTAGACATAGAGTTATGATTTTGATGCAGTAATTCCATTCCTAAATATATACTCAAGAGAAATGAAAATATGTCCACACAAAAAACTCATACATGAATATACATAGCAGCATTATTCATAATAGCCAAAAGGTAGAAACAACTCAATGTCATCAACTGATGAATAGATAAACAAAACGTGGTATATCTATGTAATGGAATACAGATGCTCTTCAGCTTACAATAGAGTTATGTTCCAATAAACCCATTATAAGTTGAAAACATCATAAGTTGAAAATGCATTTAATACATCCAACCTACCACACATTATTACTTAATCTGGCCTACCTTAAACATGCTTGGAACAGTTACATCGTCTATGGTTGGGTAAAACCATGTAACACAAAGTCTATTTTATAATAAGTTTTGAATATCTCATGTAATTTCTTGAATGCTGTATTGAAAGTGAAAACAGTATGGGTACCACTGTAAAGTCAAAAGATCATAAGTCAAATTATTATAAGTCAAGGACCGTCTATATTATTTGACCATAAAAAGGAATGAAGTACTAACTACATGCTACAACATAGATGAACCTTGAAAATATTATGCTAAGTGAAAGGAGCCAGACAAAAAAGACCACATATTGTATGATTCCATTTATAATAAATGTTCAGAATAAGCAAATCCACAGAGGCGAAAAACAGTCTAGTAGTTGTCAAGGGATTGAGGGGCATGGGGGGCTTGGAGTATGATGGCTGAGAAGTTCAGGTTTCTTGTTGGAATGATGGAAATGTTTTAAAATTGATTGTTAATGATTGTGGTGATGCGCTGAATTTACTTTTTATTTTTATTTTTTATTTTTGAGACAGAGTCTCACTTTGTTGCTCAGACTGGAGTACAGTGGCATGATGTTGGCTCACTGTAACCTCTGCCTCCTGGGCTCAGGTGATCCTCCTGCCTCAACCTTCCGAGTAGCTGAGATTACAGGTGCTCACCACCACGTCCAGCTAATTTTTGTATTTTTAGCAGAGTTGGGGTTTCACCATGTTGGCCAGGCTGGTCTCAAACTCCTGACCTCAAGTGATCCTCCCGCCTTGGCATCCCAAAGTGCAGTTTGAGCCACTGTACCTGGCTGATGCACTGAATTGAAATGAGTGAATTAAATTGTTTGGTGTGTGAATTATATCTCAATAAAACTGTTACCAAAAAAAAAAAAAAAGAATTTTTTTCTTTTAATGAGTTAGGACTGATTAGATGGAAACCCCTCCAGGGCAATTTGAGACAGGACCGACTTAAAGGAAATTTTTACTCAGAAAAGGCCTTCCTCTGCTACACATAATCTTTTGCAATGACCACAGAAAATAGATTTTGAGATACGGAAATTTCAAAAAACTTTCTTTGCACTTGCACTGGGGGACAGAAAGCAGCTGTTGAGACGATAGTTTAACTTCATAAAATATGTCTGCTGCAAATTTGTGTGGGAAGGGAGATCTTGCTTCTCATTGTAACTTTTGACCACCTGGTAAGTAAGGAAAACTGCTTTACATTACTCATGAGTCATACAACATCAGTTGTTAAAATGACTTTACCGAAGGATAAAATTTGCATGTAAGTGCCGTTTTGCCTGGTAATTATAAGTTGAATTCATTAAGAAGCATTATCTGCTCAGGTGCAGTGGCTCATGACTATAATCCCAACACTTTGGGATGCTGAGGTGGGCAGATCACTTGAGGTCAGGAGTTCGAGACCAGCCTGGCCAACATGGTGAAACCCTGTTGCTACTATAAATACAAAAATAGCCGAGTGTGGTGGCACACACATAGTCCCAGCTACTCAGAAGGATGAGGCAGGAGAATCGCTTGAATCCAGGAGGCGGAGGTTGCAGTGAGCTGAGATTGGGCCACTGCACTCCAGCCTGGGCGACAGCGAGACTCTATCTCAAGCCAAAAAACAAAACAAAACAAAACAAAACAAACAAAAAAAGAGAAGTATTATCTAACCTTCAACCAAAGATTATTTCAAAAGCCATCCAGTGTTTGATAATAGTGGTTGAAAGTGGTTCTTCTGACTCAAAATTTTAATCTTAGCACTGTGCTCAAAAACTTGCAATAAAATGTTGCCACTGCTAAGCCATGAAACTGCTGTACAGTAGGGTGAGTGAGAGTATTCAGCTTCTCTATCTGACAAAAATTCATGGAACCAATGATGATTAAGTCTATTTAGAGGGTATAAGGCTCACTCGACACTACTGGTTCAATAACACATGATGTATTCAAACATTTTCTGCAAAATACTTGCTCCTGCGTACAGTGAATAACCATATATTTTAAATGCCTCACAATTTTACAAGCTTTGCAAGCGTGCCCAACTGCAGATGGTTCTGTTCCAACATATTTCTACCACCGTCAATTGTAATACATCTTAGAGGAGTCTACTTCAGTTTATACCAAAATATTGCATTTCTAAGTTCTTTGAAAATATTCATTAAACAACAAAAAAAACCCAGATTTATTGAGATTTAATCCACATATTATAAAATGCACCCATTTAAAGTGTATAATTCCATTAAAATTATTCTTGCCTATAGTTGTTCCACAGAGGCTATATAGGCTAATTCTTTAGTCATTTCAAACTTGTCATTGACTCCTTAAATAAACAGCAGAGCCGTATTGGTAGCAACTGTCAGCTCATCAAGATTCAAAGAAAACCACCCAAAGTCATTTGCCTTGTTTTTAAATTAACTGTTGATACTGTTCCCAATGATTTCAACTCTCCGAGCAACTATTCTCTCCAAAGCAGTCTTAAGCAAGTTTTGCATGGTCTTGAACAAGTTTCTTTCCTCTGGATACATTTCTTTGGCTGTTGCAATCAAACACAATGTAATCAACTCATCCCTAAATGGCTTTCCTTGCTTGGCTTACAAATGAAGCACTCAGAAACTTGCTTTAGTTGCAGCCTCCTTTTCATTATTTAATTTTAAGAAGAAATTCTGCTATGATGAGACGTTCCATTTTAAATTTTCTGTTTTTTTCTATGGCTGCTTTCCTATGACTTGGGAATATTGTGATATGTGCTTAGTGTAGTAATATTAACATGAACTATTATTTTAGCCTACCTATACTGTCATTGCATAGTACACACAATGCTTTGCCATCTATTTTGATAACAAAATAATCCCTATTCCACACCCCAAAATAATTCATACTGTGACTTAAATGCATGACATTTAAAGTCCCCTTTTCTCTTCTTTTCTTGTTTTGACATGATGGGTATGCATTGGTAATTTAATAAAAAGAAAAGAAAATGGGCTAGGCGCTGTGGCTCATGCCTGTAATTCCAGCACTTTTGGAGGCCGAGCCAGGCAGATTGTTTGAGGCCAGGAGTTCGAGACCAGCCTGGACAACATGGTGAAACCCTGTCTCTACAAAAAATACAAAAATTAGCCAGGTGTGGTGGCAGGCACCTGTAATCCCAGCTACTTGGGAGGCTGAGGCAGGAGAATCACTTGAACCTGGGAGGCAGAGTTGCAGTGAGCCAAGACTATGCCACTACACTCCAGCCTCAGTGACAGAGTAAGACTCTATCTCAAAAAAAAAAAAAAGAAAAGAAGAAGAAAGAAAGAAAGAAACAAAGAAAGAAAGAAAGAAGAGAAAGAAAGAAAAGAGAAAGAAAGAAAGAAAGAAAGAAAGAAAGAAAGAAAGAAAGAAAGAAAGAAAAAGAAAAAGAAAGAAAGAAAAGGAAGGGAAGGAAGGAAGGGAGAAAGAAAGAAAGATAATGTCACGGTATGACCATATGCATGGCATTTGAAATATTGTTGAGTCATAGCTTCATCACTGGGATGTGTAGTGTTCTGTTTCAGCGTGCAGTGGTGACAGCATCACATACAATCTCTGTCATGACTATTATACTCTGCTATTACAGCACAAATGCAGCTACAGATTATATACACTCAAATGAGTGTGGCTGTGTTCCAATAAAACTTTGTGGACACTAAAATTTGGATTCTATATAATTTTCACATTTTACAAATTATTACTTTAAAATTTTATTTTAGTGATTTAAAATGCAAAAATAATTCTTAGCTTGTGGATCCTACAAAAATAGGCAACTGGCTGATTCTAACTCATGGCGTATAGCTTGCCAACCCCTGATCTAGAGAGCTATCAGCTCAATGAGGATAGGTGCTCCCTCACCAACATAAGAGCTCATCATTGTCCAGCAGTGTCCCAAAGATTGACAGGGGAAATGGGCTCTCAATTTTAACCTCCTAGAATGACCACAAGGCTTGACCTCCATTAGGATGTCAGAAACCACCATCTTTCAGAACTCTTTCCTGAGGCTAGGTTGAATATTATAAGACATCCATTGTCTCCTTTAACTCAACTCTGAGAAGTCAGTTTTACGGGCACATTTTTACTGACTAAAAAATTCAGCAATAGAGAAGTTAAGTAACGAAGGGATATGTGTCAGATCTGGGATTAAGTCCCAGGTTTCAAGGCCATGCTGTACTCACCACGCCACACTGTCACTGTTTAATCTAGACACTTATCTATGCCTGCCCCACATCCCTGCCCATGTTCTCCAACCAGGCCTTCTTCCAGAATCACCGATGACATCTGCCTGTATCCTGCCTAGTCAGTCAACACAGCTGTGCTTGTGGGCCTGCCCTCTCCCGTACGCTTCTGTAGCTTACGTGCTTTTATGACACACACTTTCAATGACTACGTATGCCACAGAAAGGATAATAAACTGGACTCTTATTCCAACCTTCTATAAACCAGCTATGTAACCTGCAAAATACTTTGCCTTCTCTGATCTTTAGTTTTCTTATCTGTAAAATAGGACTGGGAAGTTGAGTGATACCAACATTTCCTGAGCTCATTTCTAATTTTAGCCTTCCATAAGTCAATTGATTCCCTGTTTTATTACCCACATGTTGCAACGTCACATTATTAGTAACTTACAGAAAGTTGTTACTGCTGATAGACCAGAGAATCATGGACCCTGAACCTTGTTTTAGGTATATGACACAATTGTCTATTACTAAGCATACTACCCCTGAAATGTCAACTGGTTGGCACATTCACAAGGGTATTTAAGAAAAAATTAACTGCGTTTCCTGCTGGGCGTCAAAAAAAAAAAAAGAATAAATTAGCCAAAGAGGCCAACTTGATCTTTGATCTTTAGCCAAATGCACGAACTAAAGAGGGTAGAGAATGGGGCATTATGGAATGGGGAGGGACTGAAATGAAAGCCAATTTTACAAGTACTTATTAAGCACCTACCATGTGTTCACAGGGGGAGTAGGGGTTGATACCAAAACAAATAGATAAGTAAGACTGAGGTCTTTGTTCTTGAGGAGTCCACAGTCTAGTGGGTGATGACCAAGAAGCTAATAATAGAAATTTAAGAATAATACACATTTATGAATCAATAGCATTGATGTCAGTGAGTCTTTCGACCTATCTGCCACTGTAGAGAAGTAGGAGGAGAAAATTTGCTTTATTGTGATGCCTATCAATAAGGGGACAGAGAGAGGCTCAGTGAATATTCATGGCCTCAAATTTCCATTACCATTAAAGGTTACTCTGACTTAATTCTTTGGACACAAGCACCGTGTTAGGGGGCAAGAGAGTGAGTAGGATGTGCTCCTCTCATTACAGTGTGCTTCTCAACTTGTTTCACAGTTTAGGAGGTTGTTGGGAATATGCTAAAAAAAAAACACGGCATTATGTGAAATCAGCTACATACATGGTGAAACCCAAGTCACAGTTCAATTGATTGATTCACAGTGTGAACTACAAAATGTATTACATTTAACAAATAGGTACATTTATACATGCAATTTAATACATATGATTGTATTAATAAATGCCGTATTTCATGAATATTGACTCGTTTAATTCTCATGATAACTCCAACAGGTACATTCTATTATTGTTAACATTTGAAGAAACTAAGGCACAAAGTGATTAAAAATAATGTGCCCAGGGTCACGGAGCTAGTAAGTGGGGATGTGCACCCAGGAAGCCTGCATGAATAGCCAATGTCATCCACCCTCACCCACTATCTCTTCAGCCTCTGCCCTCCCCACCATGCCTGTGAGGATGGCTGGGGAGAAGTCACAGAGATGAGCAGGGAGTTCTTGCTCTTCACACATTTTTCCAGAGTCCCTGGAAAGTTGGCTGTGTCTGCTGAGGCCTCACCCTGGGACCCAGAGCAAAAGAATCTGTCCCCTTTGGCCAGTGCTTCTCAGTATGTGGAGCCTACCCTACCTTCATGTAGGAGGACAACAGACCCTCCTCTGCACTGTCAACTCTCCTCTCTCCTGATTAGTTTGCTTATATCTGTCCCCATGCAGCCCTAACCTAAATCCACTTTCTCCACTCCTCTCTCCAAGCTCCTTACCCCTTCTGAGAGGACTCTCTTCCAAGCAGAGAAAATCGCTGGGTTGAAATTAGGAAAGGACGTTCCTCCAGTTGAAGCTACGGAGCTCTATAGGGGTCTTCATCGGAGCAAACGAGCTCCCTGTCCCTGGGACATTTACTCAGATGAGAGAGGATTTAGGCATTTTTGAAGAGTTTTTAGGCATTTTAGGGTAGTTGATGGCTAAGATCTCTTCTCATCTTGAGATTTCAGTATTCTATATTTCTGGTGTTATTAATATATATATTTTTTATTTCAATAGCTTTTGAGGTACAAGTGGTTTTTGGTTACATGGATGACTTGTATAGTGGTGAATTCTGAGATTTTACTGCATCTGTCTCCTGAGTAGTGTACATTGTATCCAATATGTAGTTTTTTTTATCCCTCACCCCCAACCCTCCTTTCCAAATATCTAATGTTCATTATACCACTCTTTATGTCTTTGCATACTCATAGCTTAGCTTCCACTTACAACTGAGAACATACAGCAATTGGTTTTCCACTCCTGAATTACTTCACTTAGAATAATGGCCTCCAGCTCCATCCAAGTTTCTGCAAAAGACATTATTTCACTCATTTTTATGACTAAGGAGTATTCCATGGTGTATATATATCTCACTTTCTTTATCCATCATCAGTTGATAGGCATTTAGGTTGGTTCCATATTTTTGCAACTGTGAATTGAGCTGTGATAAACACATGCATGCAGGCATCTTTTTGATATAATGACTTCTTTCCCTTTGGGTAGATACCCTGTAGTGAGATTGCTGAATTGAATGGTAGATCTACCCTTAGTTCTTTGACAAATCTCCATGCTGTTTTCCATAAAGGTTGTACTAATTTACATTACTACCAGCAGTATATAAGCATTCCCTTTTTACCACATCCATACCAGCATCTATTGTTTTTTGGCTTTTTAATAACAGCCATTCTGGTAGGGGCAAAGTAGTATCTCATTGTGGTTTTAATTGCATTTCTCTGATGATTAGTGATGTTGAGCATTTTTTCATGTTTATTGACCACCTGTATATCTTCTTTTTCTTCTTTTGAGAGATATCTATTCATGTCATTTGCCTACTTTTTGTTTGTTTGTTTCTTTTTTTTTTTTTTTTTTGAGACAGGGTTTCACTCTGTCATGCAGTGGTGTGATCAAGGCTCACTGCAGCCTCGACCTCCCAGGCTCAAGTGATCCTCCTACTTCAGTCTCTTGGGTAACTAGGACTACAGGGTCACACCACCAAGCCCAGATAATTTTTGTATTTTTTGTAGAGATAGGGTTTTGCCATGTTGCCTAGGCTGGTCTCAAATTCCTGGGCTTAAGTGATCCTACTGCCTGGGCCTCCCAAAGTACTGGGATTATAGGTGTGAGCCACTGCACCCAGCCTTTTGCCCACTTTTTGATGGGATTATTTGTTTTTTTCTTGCTGGTTTGAGTTTCTTGTAGATTTTGGATATTAGTTGTGCCAGATGCATAGTTTACAAATATTTTCTCCCACTCTGTGGGTTGTCTGTTTACTCTGATGGTTATTTCTTTTGCTGTACAGGAGCTTTTTAGTTTAATTAGGTCCCATTGATTTATTTTTGCTTTTTATTGCATTTGCTTTTGGGGTCTTAGTCATAAATTCTTTGCCTAGACCAATGTCCAAGATTGTTTTTGCTAGGTTTTCTTCTATACTTTTTATGGTTGCAGGTCTTATTTTAAGTCTTTGATGCATCTTGAGTTGATTTTTTGTATAGGTGAGAGATAGGGATCAAATTTCATTCTCTTACATATGGCTATCCAGTTTTCCTAGCACCATTTATTGCATATGGTGTCCTTTCCCCAGTTTGTATTTTTGTATGCTTTGTCAAAAATCAGTTGGTTGTAAGTATTTGACTATTTCTGGGTTCTCTATTCTGTTCTATTGGTCTATGTATCTACTTTTATACCAGAACCATGCTGTTTTGATTATTATAGCCTTGCAGTATAATTTGAAGTTGAGTAATGTGATGCCTCCAGAATTTATTTATTATTATTATTAATTTTTTTTTGCTTCGGATTGCTTTGGCTATGGGCTCTTTTTTGGTTCCATATGAATTTTGGGATTTTTTTTCTAATTCTGTGAAAAATGATGTTGGTATTTTGATAGGAATTGCATTCAACCTGCTTTGGGCAGTATATTTATTCTTGATACTGATAATTCCAATCCATGAGCATGGAATGTAACAAATTTCCATATGGTTGCATAATCTGTGATTTCTTTCAGCAGTGTTTTGTAATTCTCCTTGTAGAGATCTTTTACCTCCTTGGTTGAGTATATGTGTAGGTATTTTATTTATTTTTATTTTTTTGCAGTTATTGTAAAAGGCATTGAGTTCTTGATTTGATTCTCAGCTTTGTCATTGTTGGTGTATAGCAGTGCTACTAATTTGTGCACATTGATTTTTGTAACCTGAGAATTTACTGAATTTAGTTATCAGTCTAGGAGTCTTTTGGAGGAGTCTTTAGGGTTTTCTAAGTATACAATCATACAATCATATCATTGGCAAACAGAGATCGTTTGACTTTCTCTTTTCCAATGTGGATGCCCTTTCTTTCTTTCTCTTCCCTGACTGCTCTGGCTAGGATTTCCAGATACATATATATAATAGATAAATAAGTATATATATATATATATATATATATATATATATATATATATATATATTTTTTTTTTTTTTTTTTTTTTTTTTTGAGATGGAGTCTCACACTGCCACCCAGGCTGAAGTGCAGTGGCGCCATCTTGGCTCACTGCAACGTCCACCTCCCAGGTTCCAGTGATTCTCCTGCCTCAGCCTCCCGAGTAGCTGGGATTACAGGTGCCCACCACCACGTCCAGCTAATTTTTTGTATTTTTAGTAGAGACGGGGTTTCACTATGTTGGCCAGGCTGGTCTTGAATGCCTGACCTCATGATCCACCCACTGCAGGCTGCCAAAGTGCTGGGATTACAGGCGTGAGCCACCGCGCCTGGCCTCCAGTACTATATTTAACAGAAATGGTGACAGTGGGCATCCTTGTCTTGTTCCAGTTCTTAGGGGGGATGGTTTCAACTTCTCCCCATTCAGTATGATGTTAGCTGTGGGTTTGTCATAGATGGCTTTTATTATTTTGAGGCATGTGCCTTCTATGCCTAGTTTGTTGAGGTGTATTTAATATTTTTTAAAGCAAAGGATCTCCATCTGATGTCTTAAAACATTTCTCTTCCACCTATGCTAGTTTTACCTTTAATACTGTTGTTTATCACAAAGGATGCTGTTGGGACACATCTGCTTCATCTGGAGAGGTTTCTCTACTTCTTCCTTCTCTATAGCCATCCTCTTCAGAATGCCTGTGTCCTTGCAGGCTAAGGGTCAGGAACAGTAGTTCCTCCTTCTCCATGAAGCATTTGTTCCAAGACCCCCAGGTGGATGTCTGCAACCATGGATAGTACTGAACTCTATATGTACAGTAAAACTATGTTTTTCTTTACACCAAGTATATATATATGTAATATATATGTTATATATATTACATATATATAACATATATATAACACATATATAACATATATAACATATATATAACATGCATATAAAACATATATAACATATATATACACACACACATATATATACACATATATATATATTTTTTATTTTTTTTATTTTTTTGAGATGGAGTCTTTCTCTGTTGCCCAGGCTGGAGTGCAATGGCACGATCTTGGCTCACTGCAACCTCTGCCTCCCAGGTTCAAGTGATTCTCCTGCCTCAGCCTCCTGAGTAGCTGGGATTACAGGTGCCCCCCACCACGCCCGGCTAATTTTTTGTATTTTTAGTAGAGACAGGGCTTCACCATCTTGGCCAGGCTGGTCTTGAACTCCTAACCTCAGGTGATCCACCCACCTCGGCCTCCCAAAGTGCTGGGATTACAGGTGTGAGCCACCATGCCCAGCCTATATTTTTTAATAACATCAACTCTCTCCTTCTTTCAGCTAAGAACTGAGAGGTCTCTGATAACAGTGTTTTTACATTGGATGAGGGGTCCCTTCTCTGAGATTTTAGAATTTTACGTAAATATATTTCCGTGAATTAGCAGAACCTTTGAATAAGTAAGAAATCAATTTACCATAGGTTTCAGGTGCTCTCAGGATTCTTTTGGTTTTTGGATCACCAAGCATCGGAAGGGGTATTTAGGAGGTGGAGTGGACAGCAATTGCCCTTTCTGAGGCTGCATGGCATCTTTGCAGCCCTCCCTGCAGCTGGGGATCTCCCGCATCATGAGGCCAGCCTCTGCAAGGTAGAAGCCAGGACCTTGGTACCACAGCCTTTCTTGTTGCTGGGATACTGGCCTGTTACTTGGCACCATAAGTCAGAGGCACCTGCCTAGGACTTGTATTTAGAAGAGATAAATGGGCCGGATGCGGTGGCTCATGGCTGTAATCCCAGCACTTTGGGAGGATGAGGCAGGCAGATCACTTGAGGTCAGGAGTTTGAGACCAGCCTGGCCAACATGGTGAAACTCCATCTCTCTAAAAATACAAAAATTAGCTGAGCATGGTGGTTCATTCCTATAATCCCAGCTACTCAGCTGGCTGAGGAAGGAGAATTGCTTGAACCCGGGAGGCAGAGGTTGCAGCAAGCCAAGATCATGCCACTGCACTCCAGCCTGGGTGACAGAGTGAGCCTCTGTCTCAAAAAAAAAAAAAAAAAAAAAAAAAGAAGAGAGAAAGGAAGCAGGCACAAACAGAGTCCTTTTTTTGCCAGGATCAGTGGTGGGTACTGTGTGGTCCATGCCTTGTGGTGGTGGCAGTGTGGCTGTCTTCACTAGAGCCCTCCTGCAAAGTGATTTGACCCCTGTTCCTGTCTGCGGATCTTCCAAGACCCTCTGGAAATTCTGTGAGTCACTTGATATCCTTTAAATCAAACAGATTGGATGCTTACGTCTGCAACTAAGAACCCCAACTAATACAGGGGGGTATGATAGTTAGAATTTAAAGCTCTTATTCACCTCCTCAAGAAAGCCATAATAATAGCCCTCAGCATCTATTGAGTGCCTACAATATGCCAGGAACTGTGCTAGGATATATATAGATATACACCAAAAATAAGCAGAAGAACATCTCATTCTTCTTTCCATACCTCCTGTTTTGTTGCCTATATTATTTTTACTCTATCAGAGTTTTATAACATATTCTATTTCCAAATCTTAATTCATTCAGTTTTTAGCACTAATTCTATATCTAAACACATCCAATACTTATCCCTCATAGCTTTTTCATTCCCAAATTCTGCATTTTGATTCCTCTCTTAGTTGGCAGATGTCCCCGTGGAGTGGTTTTCCTTGCATGCCAGGTTCCCTAAAATCATTTCTGTTGGACAAAATCTGCCTATTGCTTTCATGATTAAATTAATAACCTCATAGATGTTGACTCATTGCCTTCTGGCTTTGCATGTTGCTGTGAAGAAGTCTGGTTCTGCCCTTTGAAAGGGACTTCACTTAATTTTTTTTTTTTTTGAGACGGTTTTGCTCTTGTTGCCCAGGCCGGAGTGCAGTAGTGCGATCTTGGCTCACTGCAACCTCTGCCTCCCGGGTTCAAGCGATTGTCCTGCCTCAGCCTCCTGAGTAGCTGGAGTTACAGGCACCCGCCCACCACACCTGGCTAACTTTTTGTATTTTTAGCAGAGACAGGGTTTCATCATGTTGGCCAGGCTGGTATTGAACTCCTGAACTCAGGTGACCCACCTGCCTCAGCCTCCCAAAGTGCTGGGATTACAGACATGAGCTATCGCGCCTGGCCAGGACTTCCTTTTAATGCCAGAACTGTCCTGGTTTTAAAAGTAGCAAACAAAAGCAACAACTAAGATCTGAGAATTCCATGGTCTTGCCAAGGTCCTATCCTAGTAAGTAGCTCATTTGAGCCCAGGATTTGCATCTAGATCTGTCTGTGAAGCCTGCATTCTTCTATCCCACCATATGAGGATGTTTCTGTCCTGCTGGGGAAAATACAACCAGGGACATTAGGAAACTTTGGGTAAAGTCATTCAGCCTCACTGGGCCTGAAAATCCTCTTTTGTAACATGGCAGGACTGGACTACATTAGTGGCTCATAGATTTAAAGGCTTAGAAAAATTAGTGACATGTCAAAAAAAAATTGATTGTGGAGGGGACTGACATGGAGCTGCCGACTAAGTGTAGGTACAGAAAACTACCATCTTCTATCACCATTATAAGGGACTTTTTATTACCAAAAATGTAGAAAGGACATTATCGCATATCAATGAGGTAGCATTTAAATTGAGTAAATATTGCTTTTAGAAAATCTCCCTACTTATTTTATGCATTTGGCCTCTGCCCAGCGATAACGTCTTCCTGAATCAGCATCTCTCTCTCTATATATATAAGCAGGATTTTTAAAGCCCTGGCCCACATGACCTCACTAAAAAGTTGTCCAGGTCTCACATTCTGATACTTTGATTAAAGGGAAAGCTGCTCCTATTTTACAGGCTAAGATGGCTATAATCTGTCCCTTGATCTTTATAAAGGAATTAGCCTCAGTGCAACATGTGAAGCAACCAGAAAGGAAATGAGGGACAAGGGACTCCACATTGGGAGTGGTGGGTATGGACAGGCAGGAAACTTGGACCTTGCTCCTGATTAACTTAATTATCACCAGGCTAAATATAGATCGAGTTCTACATGGATTATCAAATTGTGATGTATTGTCCAATACAGCTTTTGTCTTTTTTTTTTTTTAAGACAGGGACTGACTGTTGCCCAGGCTGGAGTGCAGTGGCATGATCTTGGCTCACTACAACCTCCGCCTCCTGGGCTCAAGCGATTCTCCCACCTCAGCCTCCTGAGTAGCTGGAACTACATGCACACACCACCATGCCTGACTAAGTTTTGTATTTTTTTGTAGAGACAAGGTTTTGCCATGTTGGCCAGGGTGGTCTCGAATTCCTGGGCTCAAGCGAACTTCCCATCTGGGCCTCCCAAACTGCTGGGATTACAGGTGTGAGCCACCATGCCCAGCTGCTCTTATCTTATTGATGATAATAGTATCACAGTGATAATGCCTTACTTGCACAACCGTGAAGTAAGCAGGAGGGAAGGGCAGAGGAATTAATGTTTTAGTTTTTTCTGTTCTGTAACAAGACAGCTGCTTCAAGTATGCCTGCCACAGAGCCTAATACACAGTTCCTCACACCTGCTTCCTTTCAGGCCCAGACCCTCAGATGCACCCTATCGTTTAGACACAATTTAGAGACATCCTATCATTCAATCCCTCAGCATACGTCTAAATTCTCTAGTTCATTGCTTCTATGTTATAGAGGAGGAAACAAATGACTGGAGTGGTTAAGATATTCATCAAGGTCTCACTGCAGTAGAGGTGAGTTTCAAATCTAGGTCCTTCTGGTTCAACAGCACACTCATATCACAAAGCTTCACACAGCAGCTTTGGCAAATATTAGACACACAATAAGTGCTTCTGATTTAAATTTTTAAAAACAAATTAAAACAACTTTGTTGAAGAATGTTAATGATAATCATAAATGGGGCTGGGCATGGTGGTTCATGCCTGTAATCTCAACACTTCGGGAGGCCAAGGCAGGTGGATTGCTTGAGGCCAGGAGTTCAAGACCAGCCTGGGCAATATGGCAAGATCTTATCTCTATAATTATTTTTAAATTAGCTGGGTATGGTGGCTCACGCCTGTAGTCTAAGCTACTCAGGAGGCTGTGGTGGGATGGGAGAATTGCTTGGGCCGAGTTCGAGGCTACAGCAAGCTGTGATTGTACTACTGCACTTCATCCTGGGCAATATAATAAGACCTCGTCTCAAAAAAAAAAATCATCTGTCTCAAAAAAAAAAAAAAAAAAAAAAAAAAAGGTAACATAAATGTCCCATGGCATTGAACTAGGAATCAAACAATTTGCATGAACTGTAGTAATAGGGTTACTTTTGGAGAGCTGTACTCATCAGCACTCCAGCTAAGTAATGCTGCAGTAAGTCAAGTGATGCCTAAGTCTCAGTACCTTAACATAACAACATTTATTTCTCATACCAGTCCAACTCTGGTCAGCAAGGCACTATGTTCATTTGAGGCGGTCAGTGTCCCAGGCCACCAACAGCTCCATCCCAGCACATATTTCCATGATTGCTGAGACTAGAGAAGTGAACATCATACACGGGCTCTTAAAACATCTTCCTGGGGCCGGGCGCAGTGGATCATGCCTGTAATCCCAGCACTTTGGGAGGCTGAGGCATGTGGATCACAGGGTCAGGAGTTCGAGATCAGTCTGGCCAATGTGGTGAAACCCCATCTCTACTAAAAAAATACAAAAAAATTAGCCAGGCATGGTGGCGTATGCCTGTATTCCCAGCTACTCAGGAGGCTGAGGCAGGAGAATTGCTTGAACCTAAAAGGCAGAGGTTGCAGTGAGCCAAGATCATGCCATTGCACTCCAGCCTGGGCAACAGAGTGAGACTCCATCTCAAAAAAAAAAAAAATGTATCTTCCCAGAAGTGACACATTTCACTCCCATCTACATTTCTTTGGTCAAAGCAACTCATGTGGCTACATTTCAAAAGGGTAGAAAAGTACATCCTACCATGCGCCTGGAAGGAAGAAAGCAAGACGTATTTGGTAAATAGCAGAAATCTCCTCCACCTCCAGGCAACCACTCATCTGTGTCCTGTTCCTATAGTTTTATCTTTTCTCAAATGTAATGTAAATGGAAAAGCCTTTTGTGTCCTTTTTGTGTCTAGCTTTTTTCACTTAGCATATTGCTTTGAGACTTTTTGTGTCCAGCTTTTTTCACTTAGCACAATGCTTTGAGACTTTTTGTGTCCAGCTTTTTTCACTTAGCACAACACTTTGAGACTCATCTGTCATTGCCTGTTGTAGTACTTTGTTCCTTTAAATTGCTGAGTGAGATTCTATTGCACAGTTCCACAATTCCCCAGGGAAAGGACTTTCTAGTGTGTTTTAAAAGTGTTTCCTCCACAGATGTTTGCCTGGGCTTTGCTACAAGAGATCTTTGCTAAGTGCTCCTGTTCAGTGATATGTCACAGCTATATATTTTTCCACTGTCAGCCAGTCATCAGCCTGCAGCTACTAGAGGAGCTAGAGCTCCAGAATCTTTAATTGCCATGATTTATTTATTTTGTTGGCTGATTGGTCTGCCCACTTACTCATTCTTTGTTTTAGTGAATGCCTGCTAGGTGCCAGGCACTGAGCAGATAATATTTAACAAGGATAGGATTGGTTCCTATCCCCACAGGATTTATGATTTTGAGCCCATTAATCCCTTGATGATATAGGAAACAGGTTGGAAAAGGAGTAAAGGGGAAATATTAGAACATTTTGACCACAAGTCCAAGGTCTTCAGGGGGAGTTACTAGCATATCAGTATGGAGATGACATTCAATTCTGCAACTGTCTTTCCTCTATTTTGTGGTTGCTATTGTTTTGTTGGCGGTAGTGGTGTCTTACCCTGTCACCCAAGCTGGAGTACAGTGGCTTGATCCTAACTCACTGCAGCCTTGAACTCCTGGACTCAAGCGATCCTCCAGCCTCAGACTCCTGAGTAGCTGAGACTACAGGCATGAGCCGCCATGCCTGGCTAATTTAAAAAAAAAAAATTTGTAGAGACAGAGTCTTGCTTTGTTGTCCAGGCTGGTCTTGAACTCCTGGCTTCAAGCGATTCTCCCACCTCGGCTTCCCACAGTGGCATCTTTCCTTCTTTTGGTAACAGGAGGGACCTATTGAAGAGAACCAATGTGCTATTTCTTCACAGTTTTCAATTCCTAGGGCTGGATTGTGGTAGCCACTTGGCACAGAGAGCAGGAACTTCAGGTCAGAAAGATAAAAAGATCCCAGGGGTAAAGATATTTATGTTGATTTATATTAAAATCATAGGAAACACTCATAGTGTTTTCCTGTGAGTTCTCCCCTTTAACCCTCATGAGAACTTTGTGAGGCAATGATTATTATCCCCACTTTACTGATCAGGACACTGAGGCTCAGAGAACTGGGCAGCCTCTTAGGCCTGACATCATGATCTGGGAAAACAGCCACAAAATGGCTGGAGAGTGTCTTGTACCAGCTGATGGTGCTGCAAGTATTTATGGGGTCAACACACATCGACATAAATACCTTTACTCCTGGCATCTTTTTATCTTTCTGACCTGAAGTTCCTGCTCACTGTGCCAAGTGGCTACCACAATCCAGCCCTAGGAACTGAAAGCTGCCACAGCCGTTCAATATCCAGTACGGGAGAGGACTCTGACCTGTATGATCTATGCATTGTGCCCCTTACCTTTTACTTCCCAAGCAACTGGAAAATGGCTCATTGCACATTGCTGAGGTTTAGCCCAACAGTTTAAAATCACTTTTTAGCTCTTTACTTGCTGGTAATCAAAGCCTGAGGTGGAGGTTCTGTGTTGCCAGGTCAGTGGCACAAGTAGGATAAAGCACTCAGGCTAGCTTATCATGCACAGAAGTTCCTTCCATTTTAGGTTCAAAACAATCACCAGGGTGCAGCATTATTCACAATAGCCAAAACATAGAAACAACCTAAGTACCCATCAACAGATGAATGGATAAAGAAACTGTGTTGCGTATTACCACATGTGGAATATTATTCAGTATTAAAAACAGAGATCCTGCCATTTGCAACAATGTGGGCAACAAGGAACCTGGAGGACATTATGCTAAGTGAAATCAGCCAGGCACAGAAAGACAAACACTGAATGATCTCACTTACATGTGGAATCTAAAAAAAGTTGAACTCATAGAAACAGAGAGTAGAACGGTGGGAGGGCACAGAAATGGGGAGAAATAGATCAAAGGGTACATACTTGCACTTATGTAAGATGAATCAGCCTGGAGATGTAATGTACGGTCAGAGTACCATAGTTAGTAATACTGTGTTGTATACTGAACATTTGCTAAGAGAATAGATTTTAGGCGCTCTTACCACACACACAGACACACGTATCAATGAGATGATAGATACAATAATTTGCTTGACTATAATAGCTATTTCACTGTGTATTTCAAAACATCATGTTGTATACCTTAAATATACACAATTTAAAAATAAAATACAAACAAAAATTAGTATGAGGGGAGAGAAGGTCTGGAAATGATGCGATGTTTATGAGTCTGCCTAAGCTGAGTGGGAACAAGAAAGGGGTCAGTCCTGGGTTCCTGCTCAGACCTCAGTTGGGATTGTGAGCTGTGGGGAAGGGAGAGCTGAGTGGGTGGGGCTGGCTCAGGAGAGGAGAGTGCTACTGGCCACCTCCATTCATTTGGAAGGCCGTAGCCCTGATCCAACCTGCCAAAAGGTCACCTTCATGCCCCAAACTGCCATTATTGGCCTCCCCCAGTGCCAAGGTTTTTGCCATAAAGCATATGAGAGGCTCATCATCCCTGACCTGCAAGGCATCCAAGGAAGCAATTCATTCACGAATGTATACCTAAACAGGCAGCCACATCCCTCGGCCACCATGAGTGTAAGATCCATGGCCCACCATCTTAAAGTTCTGCAGATTCTCCCCACCAGAGCACACATAGGCTTACTTTCCCCTCTCCTCCAACACATGAAGAGTTGGCATGGAAGGGATAGTGGGAGACATTGAGGAGGGAATTGTAAGTATCTGAATTGGTCACTTATGGTCTCCAATTCACATAAACAAAAGCAGGTGCTGTATCTAAGTTTGGCTTCCTGCCATTTAGGTCTGTTTGTCCATCCATCCATCATCAAAAGTGTACCTCCCCAGTGCTGGGCACTGAGAATACAGAAATGACTCAGCTTCCACATTTGCCATGTGGAAGCTCACTGTACAACTGGTAACTTGTTGCATTCTGGTCTGGTTTTCTTGTTATTAAGAGGAAAACACACAATGAAAATGATATTAATTTTATTGCATCATTTTACTGACTAGAACGCCAGACTTAGAGTGGATATAAGTATAAAAATAACCAAATTCTTACAAATAATACTTTGCTGCTACAGTACTGAATAATTAGTGGAGGTTGCAATTATAATACAACTTTAAATAACATTCTCATAATGGGTTTAACACAATCAACCAGGGGCTAAGGTTTAAAGGTTTACAAAGAGAAATCCAGGACAACATGAAAACTCCCAAAGTTCATATTCCAGCTAAATGCTTCATTTAACCGTCAATCCACCAACACAAACATTAACAAAACTCAGAGCAACTCATGATGAAACAGTCGTTCTCTTTTTAGGACAGGCCAAGGTTAATACAGAAAGGTAAATGATTCGGATTAGTTTCCCAGGCAGAACTGACTCCATCCCATCCCTGGCCTATCCCATCCTCCCTACCCAAGAAATCTGTAATGAAGTATGTTAAGTGCATTTTAAAAATCTGAATATGCAAATTCTTCAAAATGTCCTCTTTGAAAATGCCCAGGTGACAGACCCAGTCTCGGACCTGTCGCTTTTTAGACCTGAATGGTCCCCCTTTGGTTTCATAGGGTTTTCTGTGAGCAGTTTACACCAGATATGATGGAGTATAACGCTAATGAAGATACTTTACTACAACAAATTAATTGGCATTTAATACTTTCATGTTCCTACTATTTTAGTCAGTTCTCTTCCTTGGAGATTTAAGAAAAAAAGAAAACATACCCAAAGGCAAACTCTACAAAACCAGTATCTCTATTTCCAAAAACACACATGAGAACCTCAGAATGACACTTTGTTAAGGGAGGAAATGAAATGTCCCTTCTCATCCACACAAAAGCTTTCAGACAGGAAAAAAAAGATGCTACTAAGGGTAATTTCAAGTAAAATACAAAGTATTGAAATACTGAACTTTGCATTCTTCCTCTTTCCAAAGAAGTGCTGTAGTCTCAAAATTTGTGTATTTTAGAACTATGGGTCAAAACCCTGTGTGTTAGGCTAAACTTAGCCAAGGGCAACTGGAGTGGACAGCTCCTCTTCCTCAGGCAGAGTTAAATCGGCTTACAGGACACCCGGGCATCTCACCAGGGGGCAACACAGTTTCATGCAGGCACCAAAAAGCCACACGTGGTGGGTGACCCAAAGGTGCCTGCTCTGGGAACTTTCACATCTGAATAGGTGTCATCCTTCAATGGCATATTCTTGGGTAGCCATCCAGCCTAGGAGTCCAAAGATGCTGCCTTCTCCCTTGGGCCCACTTTAAGAGTTACCTCTTTAAGAACTCAATCGTCACATCTTAGTTTTTGACCTCAGATGCCATCAGCCAACTTGACTGAACCACCTATCAGCAATTTTGGCTCTAAATGTCTTAGCTGCTTCTGAAAATATACTTCCCCTCAAAGGAGGAAGATGTGTCAGCGTTTAAGACATTCCACTGAATATGTTCCCAATTCTGAAAACAGTTCACAAAAATATGCTTCCAGTATGTGGGAGCCATGGCCTTACCACGGGAACAAGGCAAGCAGCTCTCAGATGGATGTGTATGTCTGACTGCACTTGTCAGAAACCCAGGTCCTTGCCTTCCACTTCCTATACCAAAGCCACGTGCCAGTGTGCTTCTTGCTGAGCACAAGCCAGCCACTATTTTCTTAATGACAAGTGTCTAAGAATTACATATAAAAAACAATCTGAAAGCACATTTTCAAAAGGGTAGTCAGCATTTTTTTTTTTTTTTTTTTGCATTTCACGTCACTAATTTGGTTACTTCTTAAAAATAATATTAAGGTTCCTTAAAAAAATAACTTATCTTTAAAGCCCTTTCTCTCTTGCCCTCTTTGATATTTAAGGTATACAGGATGGTGAGGGGTGTGCCAGGACAGTAAGGCAGGGGGCTACAGTGGGCAGAGTAGCTGGGGGAGTCAGGCAGACAAGGGTTTCAGTCCTGCTTCTACAGGGCAAGCTATTTATCCTCTCTGAAGGTTTCTGTACCTGAGAAATGGGCACTTCCATGCCCACCTCTCAAGGATACTGTGAGGAGCCTTGCCCAGAGCCTGGTCATGGTAGGAGCATGTCAGTTCATCCGCCTAAAGAAACAGACTCCAGGGCCTTAGGCTGGCTCAAGGGGCAGAGGAAAAGACAATGGCAATAAGACCCTCTGGAGCTTAAACCAAACCACTGATGCCAGGGAGCCAGCCAGCCACCCTTCCCTGCTGCAGTGTGTGACGGGACACACAGATGCCCCTGCGCCCGGCTCCTCTCTATGGAGGTTTAAGCATCTCTTGAGCAGTTACACATCACTTGCCCCTTCCTCTCACCTTCCCCCATCTGTGGGATATTGGTGCAGGATTGTGGCATCTGTGCACGTGAATCACACACCCCAGGTGCAGGGGCTGACATGGAGCACTGTGTCTGGGCGGAGAGCCTCGGCGTGCCAGGTGTGCATCCAGGCCTCTTCTGCTATCAGGTGTTTCCCCTCGGCCTAGGCGGGACCCTTCTGCAGCTAGGAACCCCGTGCAGGAGTGCAGCTGGCCTCTCCCTTCCTCACTGGGTCACAGACATGCTTTACTCATGTCCCCTTAGAGCCTCATGCTCTGGAGGTGCCTTCCCCACCCCCAAACGCCTCCTGGAAACTGTGGAGACTGTGTGACCTCAACCTTGTGGGTGCCTCCTTTTTTTCTCAGTTAGAACAACAAAATAAAACACTCTTAATCCACTCCATACGGAAGAAACCCATGAACAAGAAGCATTGTTGGAACTCACAGGACACCGTTTTCTCGATGTTGGGATTCTTCCCAAGAATGTTTTCAGGACAGAACACTTCATTTTGTGGAGCTGAAGTCTTCTGGCTCCGATAGAGGAGATGATTTGTCAGCTGTGACGTCAGCTGAAGGCAGTGGAAGTGTATGCCTGGGAATAGCCTCCCTACATGGCTCTTCCCACAGCTGCGGGTTCTGGGGGTGAGCAGGCATGCTGCGGAAGGAGCCAAGAAGCCTAGTCTGTGGGCTCAGGTGAGCTGCAGGAGCTCAGAACTCTCCAGTTAGGTGCGAGGCCGTGAGCCACAAAGGGCCATTGGTTCTACAGAGAGAGAGGCCCAAGATTTCAAAAAGGCGACACTTTGAAATTTTAGGTTAGCCTCCACTGATAAAAACAGTTCTCCTTTTATTTATCTCATGGATAAGTGCAATGTAACTACTAAAATGCACCTCCCCTGACTAGGACTCTTGCTACAGCAGGGTGATGGTGAGTGGTGGAGACCATGGGACACAGGAGTTCTTGCTTAAAACCATCAGGGCCAAGGATTATGTAAGAATAGGGATTATATTTAGAGGACCTTGAAGAAACAACCATGCCCGGGGCAGAACTGTCCCCAGTGGCTGCACCATTTCCAGAAATGTGAAGCGGGACTCCCCGCTTCAGGGTGGAGACAATTCTTTTACCTCTGTATTCCCCTCACTTCATCCAAAACCAGGATGCCCCAAAGAAGGCCAATAAACACAGTTCCCCAGGTGGCAATTAAAGACACCGAGTACTGGATGTCTCCCTGGCAGGACCCACATCACAGGCATAATAAATAAGATGAGTGGAACTTCCTTCCCGAAGGTCAACCCTCAGTTCCTCGACCAACCGGAAGTCTTCAGTTCTCCCACACTGACTGGAAGTATAACCACGTTTCTGGAGGGTGCGACATAGCCATATGAAGAGGTACAAATGACTGGGTGAGAAAAAAAAGTTATTTCTTCAGCCGAATAAACAGCTTTGAGTGGTTGAAAGTTTACATGGGGTTTGTGGACATGAGATTCTGGGTACAAAGTGCTGCAGTAGCCGGTGAGCAAACTCATGTGTGGCTCCATCTCGGCTCCCTGTTCTTCCTCAGGAATCCACACAGCTTCCCAAAGCACTGTTGATGCAGGAAATCTAACCTGCCTATTCAGCCCATCCCTCTAACCACATCCAGCTGCAGGGGCTCAACAAGCTGCTTTCCTAGAGTGGTGAAACCTGCGTTCAGTTTGACATTTCTCCTCCATACGCAGCTGCCTCTGGCCTCCACAATGGTGATCGAGTCCCAGGCCCCAGGCTGGGCCCTCATGGATGAAAAGTGCCCCCCTGCCTGCAATCTGCCTGCTGAGCCTCCAGCTAAAACCAAATATAAGTTGTTTTGCCCTGATCCAGGCTTGTTTGAAAAAGTGAGATTTAACTGCAAAGAGATTTAAAAAAAAAATCTTAAATACATGTGTCACCTTGACTTAAAAAACACATTGCAGTTGTGTGCGGTGCCTCACACATTTCCTCACTGTGGGGGCTGGCTTGGAAACTGTAGCATAAGACAACCTAGAAACATATGAAAACACTGTCCGTTCAATGGCGACATCTTCAGACTTCAGTGGTACGCTCATCCTCATCTGTTGTTTAGCACGCAGGCGCTGGGCAGGAAAATAATTAACAAGCCAGTATTTTGCTGCAAATGAATCACCAAATTGCTGCCTATGGAAGTGTCTCGGGAAAGGAAGCCTTCTTTCTGGAACAGTCTCAAAACAGATCCAAAAGGAAACCTCCCACCCAATTTACTAAAGTGCAAACGAAGGGAAAACCAGGTCCCTGCACTGAAGTCTAGTGGTCTGCCCTGGCTAATAGTCGCCCTGGTGCCAGTGCCATGGTGCAGTCACTCAGAGAGACTCTCTTGATACTGGCCCACATTCACGTTCACAGTAACAACAAAGGTGCTGAATGAGCAGCCTGTGGTTCCACATCCACCTGTCTCCTCCACTGTGGTCACGCCCCGCATGCCTGTCCCTCTTCCTGCTTGCCACTCAGCGTGGCTCCCGACAAATCCTGGGCGCAGCCTCCTGGTGCGGTCCTCTGAGCAGAGGTCCCAGGTGACTGGCTCAGAGCAATGAGTCCCTCTCTCTCCTGGACTTAAAAGTAGTCTCTTCTTCTGCTTTCATCACTGATGAAAGACGGGTTATACTGTCCGGGGAAAATGCAAGAATGCCGTGATCCTGGCAGTCCAGTGTAGGCCGGGTAGAGTCCGTTTCGTTCAAGTTCTGGATTCCTTACACTTGTAGGCTGGTTGCCAAAGAGAAAAGAAGAAAAGTCAATTTATCATTCTTGGGTTTAAATTGCAGTGTTAAATCCCAATGATTTTAGACCAATGTAAGAAAAGATCTGGGTTTATCCTGTATGATGTGGTTCTACCAATTATTTCTAATTTTTTTAAAGTATCTTTCTCTCTGGAGCACAACCCACTTTAATCCTTCCTGTCCCAGCAACCATGCAGAAGGCAACTGATGCAAACGGAGGAACTGACCTTTATAAGGTCCTACGACCATCTAGTTGCAGGTGGAGTTAGGACCCCAAACCAGGAGGCCAACAGCAATCCTCAAGTGACCAGTTGGATCTCAAAAAAAGGCTCCCTGGGAATAAGAGGGGCTACTTTGAGGAGGCCTTCAAAGTAGCAACAAAGGTAAATTATTTCTTGGCAGAAATAAAATACTAGCTACTATGTATCATAAATAAGTTGCAGGAGAGCCCAATGTGGGAATCACCTGGACGACACCTGAGCCCACTGTGTGGAACAGCTTGTCTACCCAGGTGACAGCTTCATGCCCTAAGCTTAGGCTCTGCCTCTACAGACTGCTCAGCCAGCTATTTTTTTCCTTCTTTCTTTTTCTTTTCCTCCTTCCTTTCCTTTCTCCTTTCCCTTTCTTTCTTTTTCTTTTTTTACCTTTCCCTCTCTTTCTTTCTTTTCTTTTCTTTTTCTTTTTCTTTCTTTTTTTAGATGGAGTCTCACTCTGTCGCCAGGCCGGAGTGCAGTGGCACAATCTCGGCTCATTGCAACCCCTGCCTCCTGGGTTTGAGGTACTCTCCTGCCTCAACCTCCCGAGTAGCTGGGACTACAGGTGCATGCTACCAAGCCCAGCTAATTTTTGTATTTTTAGTAGAGACGTGGTTTCACCATGTTAGCCAGAATGGTCTCGATCTCTTGACCTTGTGATCCACCTGCCTTGGCCTCCCAAAGTGCTGGGATTATAGGCGTGAGCCACTGCGCCCGGCCTTTTTTTTTTTTTTTTTGAGACAGGGTCTTGCTCTATTGCCCAGCCTGGAGTGCAATGGCACAAACACTGTTCACTGTAACCTTGACCTCCTGGGCTTAAGTGATCCTCCTGCCTTAGCCTCCTGAGTAGCTGGATGTACAGGGGTCCACCACCATGCCTGGCTAATTAAAAAAAGAAAAAAATTTGTAGAGACAGGGTCTCACCATGTTGCCCAGGCTGGTCTTGAACTCCTAGGGTCAAGCAATCCCCCGATCTTGGCCTCCCAAAGTGATTACAGGGATTATCGGCATGAGCCACTGTGCCTGGCCAGCCTGCTATTTTTGGAATAAAAATGGGGTTCATTTACATTCTTGACTACGTTTATTTAAGGTAACTCTTTAATACCATGGAAACATGCAGTGAAGTTGGTTCCTATGATGTCACAGGCCTGTTTGTTGCTAGTTATTGAACCGTGCTGGGGCTGAGGAGTCCCGAGTAAAGGATGAGAGTGTGGGGACACACCAGGGTAAAATACCAGCTCAGTTATAGCTTCAGTTAGTAAAGGAAAAGGACTTTCCTGATAAACAGAGAAACAAAGCCCAATGCAGAAATATCAATGGGAATATTTTTGCTAGAGCTAAGTTTGTATTTCTTTATGTTTTTTTCCTTATTTATAACTTTTTGTTCTTCCTCTAGGTTCAAATTTTTCAAAAAGAGTCCATGGAAATAAACAGCTTCTTAGCATGAACAAACTTGTCCCTCCCATCCAAAGTCTGCATCCCCATGGTCAATTGCCACAGCAACCAGAGGAATTATGGTTTCTGTCACAAGATTGTCTAACACCATTAAGTCCCCATGGGGCAAGGTTTCACATTTATTGCTATTCCTCAGACAGCTCCACATGGCACGAGAAGTCACCTGATAACTGTTTACTTTTCAGCTCAGATACGCCTGTTCGTGTTTGCTTTATGGTTGATACAGTGATATGAAATGAGCTGGGCAGTTTACAGGAATATGACACAGGTTAAATTCAATATGGGAGAAAGGCAGCAAGGGTTCAAGGTTGTCTCCTACCTTTCCAAATGATGCAGTCCAGGCTGGACATAGCAAATTATTAAAGGCCTACTGAGTATACAATATTCTAAACCTGAGAAGTGCTTGTTGAGGACGACATTGAATTGTTGTTCTCTTTATACCTTTTCCCCATCCCCTAGTTGGTTTTTTTGTTGTTGTTGTTTATTATTGCTATTATTATTATTATTATTATTTTGAGATAGGATCTCACTCTGTTGCCCAGGCTGGAGTACAGTGGTGCAATCTTGGCTCACTGCAACCTCTGCCTCCCCAACTCAAGCAATCCTCCCATCTTAGCCTCTCAAGTAGCTAGAACCACAGGCGAGCACCACCATGCCAGGCTAATTTTTTGTAGAGAGGAGCACGGTTTCTGTAGAGACATGATTTCACCATGTTGCCCAGGCTGGTCTCAAACTCCTGGACTCACAAGATCTGCCCACCTCGGCCTCCCAAAGTGCTGGGATTACAGGTGTGAGCCACTGTGCCCAGCCACCAATCCTCTAGTTTTAAGTACCTAACCACACAAGGTAAGCATGGCAGACAGGAGATAAAAATGAAAGGGCCAAAGGCTAAATATCACTAAATTCTTGCTCTACCTTTCAGTTTCCATTCCTATAACTTAAAAGCCAAGTTTAGTAACAAGAGGGTTACTGCTACAACCACATAAATATAATGTGCTTTATGGAAATATCCTTCATACCTCAATAGCAACACTGATAAGTACCATGCAAATAGACTGTAGGTAAACTGACTAGTAAATCAGAGGTTCATGCCACTACTCTTTAACCCTTAACTAACTGTAATGCTTTTACTACAACAAAACAGAATTCCTTTACTTCTCAGAGGAACCGGGGGCCCTGGGGTCATCCTGACACAGGAATACACACCGAGTAGTACACATCCGTCATCTGGAGGAGGTTTTTGGTACTTCCATTCTCATGCATTTCAATAGCTTCTCGGCCCCATTCTTGTGAGCGAGGATTTTTGGGGTATTCAGCATACGGGGACATTTGGAAATCTCCACTTTTGAAGATGAGTTTGCTTATGTCATTTTTATTCTTTCTGTGGGATACAAAAATATTTGTAAAGCTCAATTCCGTAAAGAAGTGATACTGTGAAAGCACCAACTATGATTTTATAATGTAAATTCAACTGAAAGCTACCATTATATTTATTTGTAGCTGCCCACTGAGTAGTATTATTATTGTTGTTATTTGGTATTTGCCTACAACAAGTAAATATGCAGTTAGGTGCAAAAAAAGATACAAAAATTCTTCCAACCCAAAGGGGCCAGATTATCAGGGGGTAGGGGGACAAAAACAGCAGCAATAGGGCAGATTTAGACTCTTCTACAGGACAGAGATCACTGTGTCTTGGGGGTGGCCAGGAAAACAAGGGTCATAAATTCACAGAATGCTGGAGCCAGAGGGGCCCTTAGACTCATTCTAGTCCAGTGGATCCCAAGCTGCCCAAGCATCAGAATTTACATGGGAAGAGTCTGGGTCTCCCCCAGATTGACTGAATCAGGAGCTCTGGGGATAGGATGGGGCAGCTCCAACTCAGTAAAGAGACCTGACTTGTCCTCTGGGTCACCTTTTGCTACTAGAAGGTGTGGAACTAGAATTCAGGCCTCCAACTCTCCGGGCAGTGCTCTTTCTACTACACGAAGCAAATATTTCACAAGTCATAAAAACAGAATGGTTTGTTTATGAAAAAGCCCACCTATTTATACACCTGTACAAATTCTCATTTCAGCAGGTTACAGAAATGCTACTCGTGAGATCTCACTGACTGCAAATTGTTGGAATCTGTGTTCTTCACCTATCTAACCGGTCCAGGATCAGAAATTTTAAATTATATTTGTCACAGATAGGATAATCTGAAATCTTTTTCTTTCTACCTCACTTAAAGTACAAATAAGTTTTCTAGGGAAGGCAAAAAGTGACTCAGGGTCATAAAACCAAATGTCTAGCATGTGGCTTAGGTGCTGGCTCTTTGTGGAAGTTGGGAACAGACCTGCCACTGTGTTGCTTCCTGGTGGGTGGGGTACCTGGGCTCAGACAATGACATACTCATGCACAACTACCTTCTCTTCTCAGGAGCCAGCAGGCACAGGCTCCTTCCCCAAATGGGTACACCACACAGTACAGAACACGTAGCAAATATGAGGCTTCTGTCCCTTGAGCGCTCAGGTTATGTCCCTCTAGGTAACCATTCCTAGTCTCATCCCCTGAAGTTTATTTCCACTCATATGGTTTATCTTTGATGATTTGATGGCAATTTGGAAAATAATAGGCAAAGGCTATACCATAAGGGCTGCATTCCTAGTTGGGCAGTTAGGGCACATTGCTCTCTGCTGCCTTTTTGAAGACAGAGGATATCTTAAAATGTCCTTTATGTCAACGGTAGAAAAGATAACTAGCTATTTTGGGAGGTTCCCCCCATCTGTTACATCTAGATAATTCCTGCCATTATTATCATCTAAGTCAGAGGTCATAATTTTCCCTTATCTGAATAGATCATCACAGAGAAGGGGAATCAATTTCCTCCTTTCTCTTCCTTTTCCAATAGAAACCCAATCTCAGTGGCTTCCAGGAAGCCCAAAGCATCCCACACTGCTGCTACAACTTCTCTACTGCAAAAATATTTCATCTTTCTTTGTCTGCTTCTCTTTCTGTACATAGCTTTACTGAGAAACAGTTCACATATCATGCGATTCACTCATTTAATGGTTTCTGGCATATTCAGACTTGTGCAACCATCATCACAATTTTAGAACAGTTTCATCACCCCAAGAAGAAACCCCATACCCCTTAGCCACCATCTTCCAATTCTCCCCTTTTCCCCACCATTCTGGCCCTAGACAACCATTAATCTACTTTCCAACTCTATTAGATTTGCCTATTTCAGATAAGTCATATAAATAGAATCATACAGTAGGTGGTCTTTTGGGACTGGCTTGTTTCACTTAGCGTATTTTCAGGGTTCACCCATGTTATAGTATGTATCAGTACTTCATTCATTTTATGCCGGAATCATATTCCATTGTAGAAATATATCACATTTTGTTTATCCATTGACAAACATTGGTAGAGTTTTCACCTTTTGGCTATTGTAAATAATGTTGCTGTGAACATTGACGTGAAGTTTTTGTGTGAGTATACCTTTTCACTTCTCTTGATATACCTAAGAGTGGAAGTGCTGGGTCCAATGGTAACTCTGTCTTTAACTTTCAGACTTTTTCAAAGCGGCTGCACCATTTTACATTCCCACTAGCAGTGTATGGGGGATTCTGATTTTTCCACTTCCTCACCAATGCTTGTTATTTTCTAGGTGTTTTTTTGTTTTGTTTTGTTTTGTTTGAGACGGAGTCTGGCTCTGTCACCCAGGCTGGAGTGCAGTGGCATGATCTCAGGTCACTGCACCTCTGCCTCCCAGGTTCAAGCAATTCTCCTGCCTCAGCCTCCCGAGTAGCTGGGATTACAGGCATGCACCACCACACCCAGCTAATTTTTTATATTTTTGGCGGAGACAGGGTTTCACCATGTTGGCCAGGCTGGTCTTGAACTCCTGATCTGAAGTGATCCACTCGCCTCGAACTCCCAAAGTGCTGGAATTACAGGCTGAGCCACTGTGCCCAGCAGCTATTTTCTATTTTTTTTTTTTTTAATAGCCATCTTAGTGGGTGTGAAGTGGTGTCTCATGGTGGTTTCGATTTGCATTTCCTAGGTGACTAATGATGTTGACCATCTTTTCGTGTGTGCCACGATCGGGATATAGTTTGTCCCCACCCAGTCTCATGCTGAAATTTAATCCCCAGTGTGGAGGTGCTGGGGGATGGGGCCTACAGGGAGGTGTCTGGGCCATGAGGGCAGATCTCTCATGAAAGGACTAATACCTTTCCTGGGAAAGCTGGTTGTTCAAAAGAGCCTGATACCTCTCCCCTAGCCCCCCACCTCTTGCTTTCTTTCTCATCAGGTGGCTCCCTTCATCTTCTTCCAGGAGTGGAAGCAGCCTGAGGCCCTCACCAGATACAGACGCCCAATCTCAAAATTTGCAGCCATCAGAATTGTGAGCCAAATAAACCTTTTTCTTTAGAAACTACCCATTGATATGGTTCGGCTATGTCCCCATCCAAATCTCATCTTGAATTCCCACGTGTTGTGGGAGGGACCTGGTGGGAGATGGTTGAATCATGGGGGTGGGTCTTTCCCATGCTGTTCTCATGATAGTAAATGAGTCTCATGAGATCTGATGGTTCTATACGGGGGAGTTTCCCTGCACAAGCTCTCTCTTTGCCTGCTGCCATTCACGTAAGACATGTCTTGCTCCTCTTTGCCTTCCACCATGATTATGAGGCTTCCCCAGCCACTTGGAACTGTAAGTCCATTAAACCTCTTTATTTTGCAGATTGCTCAGTCTTGGGCATGTCTTTATCAGCAGTATAAAAATGGACTAATATACCCAGCCTCAGGTATTCCTTTACAGCAATACAAAATGGACTAAGACAATGTGCTTATTGGCCATCTGTATCTCTTCTTTGAAGAAATGTCTATTCAAGTGTTTGTCCAGTTTTAAAATTAGGTTGTTGAGTTGTAAGAGTTCCTTCTATATTCTAGATACAAGTCCCTTATTAGACACATAATTTGCAAGTATTTTCTCATGCAACCCATATTTGCAAGTATGGGTTGTCTTTTCACTTTCTTGATAGTGTCCTTTGGAGTACAAAAGTTTTTAATTCTGATGAAGCCCAGTTTATTTCTTTTTTCATTTCCTGCTTGTGCTTTCAGCTATTCTTTTCTAATAAAGAAAATGAAGTTCCATTTACTCCCCTTCTTTTTCCTCACAGGCACCAACTATCGTGAATTCCCTTTCTCCTTTTTTAAAAATGGGTTAGTCACACATTATGGTTTAATATTGTGAACCATCTCAAGTATCCTGTAAAAGAATACAAACTGACCCTTGTATAGCACAGGCAAAGGAACGGGATTGGAACCTGAACTCTCATCACTTACCTGCAACAGGTAACAATCAGTGCGATGCCTAGGATGAGCAGGAGCCCACCTCCCGCGGCTGCGATCACCACAGTGATAAGCTGATAGGCTAAACGTAAAACAAACAAAAAAGCATATTGGCTGGAGGTAATGAAGGAATGAGTGAGTTCTCAAGAATGGTCTCCCCTGACTCTACAGTCACCACCCTGCCTTGAGGGGTGCCCTCGCCTACAACTTCCTACTCTCTGGCAAGGGATCCTCAATGGCTATCTCCAAGGCTCTCCATATTGAGAAGAGTTTTTTGTTGTTGTTGTTGTTGTTGTTTTCTGAGACAGAGTCTCACCCTGTCGCCCAGGCTGGAGTGCAGTGGTGCAATCTCAGCTCACTGCAACCTCCGCCTCCTGGGTTCAAGCGATTCTCCTGCCTCGGCCTCCCAAGTAGCTGGGACTACAGGTGCGTGCCACCAGGCCCGGCTAATTTTTTGTATTTTTAGTAGAGACAGGGTTTCACCGTGTTAGCCAGGATGGTCTCAATCTCCTGACCTCTTGATCCACCTGCCTCGGCCTCCCAAAGTTCTGGGATTACAGGCGTGAGCCACCGCGCCCGGCCGAAAAGCTCCCTTTTTTAAGCCACTCCTAGGATGGTGGCTCCTAACTTTTACCTGTGCACCAGCCCCGATGAAATTTTCACCAACCCACGGTAGAAAGAGAAAAATAAATGTGAGTTATGAGTTTTTTAAAAACTTAATTTGTTCCTCTTTGATAACTGTTCTATAATCTAAGATTTTTGTCCTTTCTACTTTTCTCTGTCACTTAAGATGGATGCCTTTTATCATGTGTAAATTATGCCTCAGTAAATCTGATTTTTATTAAAGTAATGGATGGGTCCAGGAGACCGAGGTTGCTGTGAGCCGAGATCAAACCACTGCACTCCAGCCTGGGTGACACAGTGAGACTCTGTCTCAAAAATAAATAAATAAATAAATAAATAAATAAATAAATAAATAAAAAAGTAATGGAGATAACGCAGAATCTTTTCTTGGTCACTTCCCACCCTTTGGTGTTGTTTAATTTTTTGAGTTAATGGTGATAGTAGATATAAAAATTCTTTTTTTTTTTCTTTTTTTTTCCGAGACGGAGTCTTGCTCTTGTTGCCCAGTCTGGAGTGCAATGGTGCGATCCCGGCTCACTGAACCTCCACCTCCTGGGTTCAAGCGATTCTTCTGCCTCAGCCTCCTGAGTAGCTGGGATTACAGACACGTGCCACCATGCCCTGCTAATTTTTTTGTGTTTTTAGTAGAGACGAGGTTTCGCAATGTTGGCCAGACTGATCTCGAACTCCTAACCTCAGGTGGTCCACCAGCCTCGGCCTCCCAAAGTGCTGGGATTACAGGCTTGAGCCACCATGCCTGGCCTAAAAATTCTTGATTCAGTTCTAGATTTTTACTTGATAAAATAAAAAGGAGGCAACCCTAGGTTAGACTCCGCAATTTTATAAGGAACATTACTGATCAGTTAAGTCCAGAGTCTGGGAATCACTGCATCAACCATGCTAGGGACTGAGTAGCTCCTCAATAGATACACATCAAATTTAATTACCAGAAATTAGCAGTGATTTAAGCAAGTACATATCATATGTAGAAAGCAATATTAAAAGCTTTAATTAATTGCTTTTATATCTATGTATTTCTGGTAAAATCATATCTTCAATAAATTTTATTAAATATTCCTATTGATTTTTTGGTTGTGGAAATACAAGAAAATTGTGTTCTCTAGTTGTAGGATCCAGGATGAAACACCAGTAGCCGGATTCTCGATAGTAAATTAAGATTGGAGCCTGTAATCCCAGCACTTTGGGAGGCCGAGGCAGGCAGATCACGAGGTCAGGAGATTGAGACCATCCTGGCTAACACGGTGAAACCCCGTTTCTACTAAACAAGGATGTAAACAAGGATGAGGTACAGGGCTGACACCTTCCTCCCCTCCTCACCAAGCTTCTAGAGCACTAGGTGCTGGTTGAGAATGAAGACAGGCAACAGGTAGACTATGAGCAAATACAAGCCATGCAACAATTTTCCTATCCTTTTATTTAAATAAATAGCACAGAAACCTGGCTATTACGTAAAACCATCAGTATTAGGATACAAAAGCCATCAGTATTAAGATACACAGGAAACAAAGCCAAGCCACAGAATAAACACATTCTCTTCCTTACCTCCCAACACATGTATTTGAAAGTTTCTTTTTTAACAAAAGTGAAGACAGAAAACAAACCTCTTGAATTTATCCACTTTTCTTCATCTCCCCCAACATGGCTCTGAGCTACCATCATCCCTTGTCTGGACAACTGCAGCTGCTTCCCAACGCATCCACCTGTGCCCAGTCTTGTCCACTCACTATTATAGAAAGCAAATCTGATCTTGCCATTTCCCTGCTTTAAAAAACCCTCTGTGGCTCCCTTTTTTCCTAAAGACCAGAGTCTGGCTCCTGCTTATCCTGCCACACCAAGTTAAATTTTCTCACTTCCAACAAAACAAGTAAGCATCCATTTTAGAAGTGACCCTTTCAAGTGGCTGCAGCTGTAGCAGGTTCCTGTTGGAAACAAGCAGTTTTGTCTAAAAAGAGACACAGATGGTGTACACCAGTGCTTCTCAAACTATCTGTGGTCAAGGACCAGTTTTTTTATTTTTTTTTTATTTTTACAGACTCTGGCTCCATTGCCCAGGCTGGAGTGCAATGGTGTGATCTCGGCTCACTGCAACCTCTTCCTCCCAGGTTCAAGCGATTCTCATGCCTCAACCTCCTGAGTAGCTGTGATTACAGGCACGCGCCACCATGCCCAGCTAATTTTTTGGCATTTTTAGTAGAGACGGGGTTTCGCTATGTTGGCCAGGCTGGTCTCAAACTCTTGGCCTCCAGTGATCCGCTCACCTCGGCCTCCCACGGTGCTGGGATTACAGGTGTGAGCCACAGCGCCTGGCCTGAGGACCAGTTTTTGCTTGCTTGTTTGTGCTTCTGGATATCCTTTTTTTTTTTTGAGACAGGTCTCACTATGTTGCCCACACTGGAGTGCAGTGGCAAAATCACAGTTCACTACAGCCTTCAACTCCTGGGCTCAAGCAATCCTTCTGCCTCAGCCTGCCAAGCAGCTGGGACCACGGGCGCAACTAAGTTTTGGTTTTTGTAGGGACAGGGTATCACTATGTTGTCCAGGCTGGTCTTGAACTCCTGGCCCCAAGTGGTCCTCTCACCCTGGCCTCCCAAAGTGCTGGGATTACAGGTGTGAGCCACTGCGCCCAACCTGGATATTCTTTTTAAATAAAGAAAATAAAGTCGCATGTGCTCCTCCCCTCATCTGTCCCCACAGGCACCAACTATCATAAATTTCACTTTTTCCTTTTTTTTTTTTTTAAAGTTTTTTTTTTTAAAGTCACAGTCAACTCGACTGTGGACTGATATATTTGTGAAATATAATAAAACTCTTTTCCAAGGCTCCCATGCTTGGATGTCACAGTTATGTCAAGTTAATATAAACATTTCTAAGTGCTCACTCTCAACTTCTGTGTTATCTTGCCATGGTCCAGTAACAGTTCACACGGCAGACCACAAGTTGTGTAGCACTGGCATAGACGAGGGCTTCTCAAACTCCCGTCTGCGTCTCAGTCACCCACAAGCCTTGTTAAAACCCAGATTCCTGGTCCCTGCTCCAAGAAATTTGGTTCAGTCATACTGGGCAGGGGCTCAGAACCTCACTTCTAGAGGCTTCTACGGGATGGTGCTGCTGCCAGCCAATGGACCAGACCGTGGGTAGCACTGGTTTAGATTACACAGGAGAGGAAAGAGCACTGGGCTGAAAGCCAGGAGACCACCCAGCACTCAAGCAGAGAGAAAGAGCCTGGGAGGAACTCACCAAAATGTTTGCACAAGTTAGCACTGCCTCGGGTAATGGTGGATAATTTGCTTTCTTCTTTGTGCTTTTCTGTATTTCCCAAATTTTATTTACATATTTACATATGCACACACACACACACACCCCTCCCTGAAATCTTGACATTGTGTATATATACACATACATATTTTTTTTTTTTCTTTTTGAGACGGAGTCGCCCAGGCTGGAGTGCAGTGGCACGATCTTGGCTCACTGCAACCTCTGCCTCCCGGGTTCAAGCGATTCTCCTTCCTCAGCCAGCTGAGTAGCTGGGATTATAGGAATGAACCACCATGCTCAGCTAATTTTTGTATTTTTAGAGAGATGGAGTTTCACCATGTTGGCCAGGCTGGTCTCAAACTCCTGACCTCATGATCCGCCTGCCTCGGCCTCCCAAAGTGCTGGGATTACAGGCGTGAGCCACTACGCCCAGTCATATACATATTTTTTAAAGAGTACATTTGAAGTTCTTTGGCAGCCATGTCACTGTAACCTTGTAATATCCCCCAGAGATCTTCTTAAAATCATTCTACAACTGATCTTTTGGGGTTAAGTACTGATTTTAGATTTATGATGACGTAGAAGTGCATGGATTTGAATAAGTGCCAACTGAAGTGTTTCCTAGCTTTAGAGGTGCTCTGAATATTTAGGTGAGACAGAGGCAGTGAATGTCATCTTAGGCTTGTCCTATCCTTTTTAGTGCAAAAAGATTTCTGGAATGAAGAGCTTGGAATTCTTAGTCCTACTTTCTTCTTGGCATTTGTTGACATTTCAGTCTTTCTCAAGCAATGGCTCCATGTTTCCCTTATTCTTCACAGCTTGACATTGCTGTCATCACAGTTAGCATCTTTCATCAAACCAACAGCACATTCTGGGCCTTAGCCTTTCCCCAGAGCCATATTTGTTTATGTTTATATGCTTATTTGGATGGGATCTACTGGACTATCTGCTTAGCCACCCCCCTTCTGAAAACTGTGCACCCCCTTCCATCTGCAGCCGGGGGTGGGCACACTCGGACATGTAACACCATCCCCTGGACACAGCTGGCTGGTCCTGGAACAAACCCACCATCCAAAGTGGATCAATTAGTTACTTCCCAGGAATTTGGGAAAAGAGGGCCATCACTTTCACAATTGCTGAGCTAGAGACCTCCCCACCCCCAACCAAGAGCTGTTTGGTGACCCTATTTCCCATCATGTTGTCTGGGAAGGAGAGCCTGCATACAGATACATGGCAAAGAGTGGAGATGAGCCATGAGGATGCAGTCATGGCAACATGTGCTCTCACAGGAAGCTCCTCGCTACCCCCAGCTGCTGAGCTTCCTTCCTCCACTTCCTTGGTTCCTTCCACTCCTGATGCCAGGATTCTTCCAATAAACTCTCTTTGTCGCTTAGGCTAGCTGGGCTCACTTACTCCAGGAGAACCTTAGCCAACCTTCCTTTAAGATTCTTGAACACATTACAGAATTTTCTAGGTAGCCACATTAGTTTTTATCTTACAATGCATTCAGTTCTCTCCATATTTTTCCTCACTGAGCTCACTTGTGATTTATGGTTAGAATTTTGCCTTTTATTTTTTAATCTTTTTTTTGAGACAGGGTCTTGCTCTGTCACCCAGGCTGCAGTGTAGTGGCATGATTACATCTCACTGTAACCTCACCCCCCAGCTCAAGTGATCCTCTCACCTCAGTTTCCCAAGCAGCTGGGACACTAAGTGCATGCCACCATGCCTGGCTGATTTTTTTTTTTTTTTTAGAGATGAGGTCTCGCTATGTTGCCCAGGTTGGTCTCAAATTTCTGGGCTCAAGCAATCCTCCCGCCTCGGCCTCCTAAAGTGCTGGGATTACAGGTGTGAGCCACCGCACTCAGACAAATTTTGCCTTTAAAATCTTTCCATTCCTCCTCCATCTCTGTTCACAGCATTCTTATTTTCTCCCGCACCTTCTGAAATTCACCTTTTGCAAGTCTACAACCAGGGTGTGAACATACCCGGTGCCCACCACTCTCCACTGTGACAGTGCCCCACATGATTGTCACTTTCTCCTGATGTTTTACACAACTCTATCCCTTCCACCTCACCAAATAGTCCTCGCTAGCAGAAGGGTTGGGTACAGAACAACAGTTCCCTCTCCCCAATCCCTGCCTTACCCCGTTTGAAGTGAAGGGAGGCCAGTCAAGACCGAGTAAAATGACTGCTTTTAGCTGAATGAGACTTCCAGCTGCCTTCTGGGTAATATTAATAGATTCTCCCTCCTTCCTCCTAAGCAGTTTAGTGCTGTCTTCCCAGATGTTTGTTCTGAGTGACTTCCACCAACACACAGCATTTCCATTGGTCTAAGTCTTTTATAACCCAAGGCAACAACTGGGTGAACACAACTGAAAGACACCTTCTACACCTGCCATCAGACCGTGGGTTGGGCTGGGAAGACAGTGTAGAAAGATATTTAAGCGGAATGTCTGGCTTCACGGGAAGAGGGCTGTCAGTGGGGAAGGCAGACTCTCACTCCCTGCTGGCTACACTGGGAGGCTGTGAGGCAGGGGTCTCCTCTGAAGAGGTGCAGACCCTTTGAATGAAAGGATGACCTACAAAAGAGACGTGGCAAATATGAAAGAGGGATGGAAAAAAATGTCTGTGGCCAGAAAAAAGTAATCTAGGAGAATTATGTGAGCTCTATGATCACAAAATGACAATAACCATAAAACAGAAAAATGGGGCCAGGCACGGTGGCTCATGCCTGTAATCCCAGCGCTTTGGGAGGCTGAGGCAGGTGGATCACCTGAGTTCAGGAGTTCGATACCAGCCTGGCCAACATGATGAAAACCTGCCTCTACTAAAAATACAAAAAGTTACCCAGGTGTGGTGGTGGGGCCTGTAATTCCAGCTACTCAGGAGGCTGAGGTAGGAGAATCCCTTGAACCCGGGAGGCAGAGGTTGCAGTGAGCCAAGATCGCACTACTGCACTCCAGCCTGGGCAACAAGAGTGAAACTCCGTCTCAAAAAAAACCAAAAAACAAAAAAACAACCAAAAAACAAAACAAAAACAAACAAAAAACAGAAGAATGGCTTAGATGACAGGAATATTTTAAAAAGAGACTTTTGAAAGGCAGTAAGAGGGGAATGGTTAAGGAAGTTACAGTAGGTCCATAGAGCAGAATTTCACAGGACTATCAAACGTAACATTATAAAATTACGTAAGTGAAAACATTCCACAGTTTACTAGGTTTAAAAGCAGGTTACAGAACAGTATGTTCAGTGAGATCCAATTTCTGTTAAAAAGACATACACATATATATCTCTGGAAAAATATATAATACCAGTGTTTCTCTAACTTTAATATGCATATAAATCTGCATATTAACTAAATTTATGGGCCTGGTGAGAATTCAGATTCGGATTCAGTGGGTCTGGAGTGGGGAGCCCGAAGTTGCTCATTTCCAATAAGCTCCAAGGTGACATGGATCCTGCTGGCCTATGCCCCACACTTAGTAGTAAGGAAACATGGTGAACATAGTGTTTAATGGGTGGTGAGACTGTTTACTCTCCTCTTCCCTTAACTTCTATTTATTTTCTAATTAATTTGGGTTAAAATAGGGGAAATTAATGGGCATGTGCTATATTGTTATTTTTTAAAAAAGGAATTTATTTTAAAAATAGAAAAAAGGCTAAACAACCCAAAGTTGTTTAGCAATTATGAAACTGTGAGGAGGAACCAACGTAAACTTCCAGCAACAGAGGAAATGTGCACGCCCTAAGAAAAGGGTGGAGGCAAGGGGAGTGAGAGACACATCTGATGACACATTCCTAAAAGAATTCTGGGGCCATCTGGCAAATGGGATATTTGCTGTTGAAATTGGTGGAATCTGGGATATAAACAGAGAGATATTTTACGTGTTTAAAAAATTAAAAGGAGAGCTGTGATAAGAAAGGTGCAGGCCTGCGCTGCCCAGGAGTGGGGGCCCTGCTCCAGCAGGGGGTGAAGATTTGAGAGAAAGGTTTGTCCTGCCCTTTCCAGATATTTATTCGTTTATTTTTTGAGACAGTCTTGCTCTGTCGCCCAGGCTGGAGTGCAATAGTGCGATCTCGGCTTACTGTAGCCTCTGCCTCCCAGGTTCAAGCGATTATCCTGCCTCAGCCTCCCGCGTAGCTGGGATTACAGGCATGTGCCACCATGCCCAGCTAATTTTCGTATTTTTAGTAGAGATGAGGTTTCACCAGGTTGGCCAGTCTGGTCTCGAACTCCTGACCTCAAGTGACTCTCCTGCCTCGGCCTCCCAAAGTGCTGGGATTACAGGCGTGAGCCACTGTGCCTTGCCCTTTCCAGTTTCTCTGTAAGGAGCAAGGACTGAAATCTGGGCACAAGTAGAAAGTGCACAGAAACTTTTGAGGGGTGGGACATAGGTTATGCCTAATGCCAAAATCTACTGGAGTTGGATGATGTGTGCTTGGCTGGAAAAAGCCAGCCTCCCCAGCCTCATTGGGCTTGGGTAGAGCATGTGCCCTAAAAAGCCTGCATAGAGAAGAAGCATTTCTTGCCTACGAAAAATCCAGCCTGAGTCACAGCCCCAGGAAGGCCCCTGCTGTCTTGGGTGGCAATAATGGGAGTAATAGCGGTGGGCAGTCAGAGCCCTGCTATTTGGCACAAAACGTTGAGTGATGAGTCACAGACTCCCAATATGCTATCACCATAGAGAGGGATGAATTCCCAACTCCTTAACCAACACCCAGGTCTTGGCCCAGACCTCAGAGAAAGAGGCAGGTGGCAAGTGCTACTTATTATCAGCCACTATAATATTAACTGTCTTGCAACACTGAAACTAATAGAGATATCAAAATGATAAAGTGATATTTACATGCCATCACAGAATAACAAAAGTTACCAAACTAAAGATAGGCGGCCGGTTCTAAAAGGTGGCCAGGAGCAAACCATCCAGACAGGCCTCTGCCCTCTGCTGGACACAGTGACAGTGACTTGGACAAATGGGAAGGAAAAGGAAGTCTGAGGAATCAGAGAGAAATCTTGGCTACTTCCAGAACCCCACAAAAATAATGGAGAGGACTTGACTTTTTCCTAACATAAGAACTTACAGAATAGTCAATGACATAGGGAAACAGCATCCCCAAACATGTATAGTACTTAATAATCTCTGAGAAAAAAATTACCAGTGCCACTTAGAATAATGCCCTGCAGCTCACACCCCTTTCCTGCAGCCCTTTATAGACTCATGTTCCCTAGATGGATCACTCTTCCATTCGCTGAGAAACATGAAGCATTTTCTAATAAAACTTATTTAGGGGTCAGGTGTGGTAGCTCATGCCTGTAATCCTAACACTTTGGGAGACCAACGTGGGAGGATTGCTTGAGCCTGAGAGGTTGAGGCTACAGTGAGCCATGATCAGGCCACTGCACTCCAGCCTGGGCAATAGAGAGAGACCTCATCTCTAAAAATAAAAAATAAAAACTAGGGAGCTGTCTGACCAAAGCAGGTTTAAAGTACTAGCTCATTCTATGAGAGGCCTGTCAGGGATGAGAGGCCCCAAGAGGACTGAGCAGGTCATATCTCTTACCTCCTGCTCCCTGGCTCACCCGAGGGGCACACGTGAACAGGGTGGCCACACCTCCACACCTCTCACCTGTCTCACTGGCTCTCTCTTTCTCTGCCATCAGGTGGGATTGCATTCAGATGAGTTTCTTGCACACGTGATACAGGTCTGCTGCACTTTGAGCCTCCTGCTGCTAAGCCTCTCTGTTTCTTTTTTTCTTTTTTTTTTTTTTTTTGAGACGGAGTCTCGCTGTGTCGCCCGGGCCAGAGTGCAATGGCGCTATCCCGGCTCACTGCAAGCTCCGCCCCCCCAGGTTCACGCCATTCTGCCTCAGCCTCCTGAGTAGCTGGAACTACAGGCGCTCGCCACCATGCCCAGCTAATTTTTTGTATTTTTAGTAGAGACAGGGTTTCACCGTGTTAGCCAGGACGGTCTCAATCTCCTGACCTCGTGATCCGCCCGCCTCGGCCTCCCAAAGTGCTGAGATTACAGGCGTGAGCCACAGCGCCCGGCCAAGCCTCTCTGTTTCTAACAATATCTTAGGATCAGGTCCGCAGGCTTGTGATGTAACCTCTACTCTTAGCCTTGAAGCATCTCTTCTGAAAGACTATATATGTGTACACACACACACACACACACACACACACATATATATATATATATATATATACCATGTAGTTCTAGTATTCCAGCATTTGGGAAACAAGACTCAAATATCTTAAATTTCTGTCTGATTATTCAGCCTCCTTTTTCCACATTGAAACGTTATAGATTTTCTTATCTATTTTTGTGCACAGGCTACTCCATTCTCTGATCAGTTTACGAGCTCTCTGTGACTCTGTTCTGGTTTCAAGTGAGAAATGAGATTCACACGAAAAAGTGAACACACACCACTCTGTAGACCAGGCAGCCCCTTTAAGGCATAGATATCCTCCTAAACACAAAAGCATAAAGACCCTGAGCCCAGCTGAGAAACTGGCTTGCCTAAATACTGATCTTTAGAAAGGACATGTACTGCCATCCAGACTGTTTTACATAAGCCAAATCTCCAAAATACTCAAGCCTACCCTGTTCAGCATTGACACCTAAAAAGAATTTTGACTATTCTTTAATTTATTAAATAAAAAAGCCTAAAATATGATAACTTCCTTGCCTTATTAAACTGAGTGCACCAAACACCATTTAGAGCGTGATGACTGGGGTCCATTGGAGTGAAGGGCCGTGCTCACATGGTTCTATGGCCCCACAGTGTCCTCTGGGACTTCTAAAGAGTACAGGGTTGTTTACTACACCACTCAGGGCTGCAGGTTGCTACTTAAAAAACAAACATCGGCCGGGCACGGTGGCTCACGCCTGGAATCCCAGCACTTTGGGAGGCCGAGGTGGGCGGATTACAAGGTCAAGAGATCGGGACCATCCTGGCCAACATGGTAAAACCCCGTCTCTACTAAAAATACAAAAATTAGCTAGGTGTGGTGGTGCACACCTGTTGTCCCAGCTACTTGGGAGACTGAGGCAAGAAAATCGCTTGAACCCAGGAGGCGGAGGTTGCAGTGAGCCGAGATCGTGCCACTGAACTCCAGCCTGGCGACAGAACAAGACTCCATCTCAAAAACACAGAAAAACAAATATCAATTCTGTGAGTCCCTCCCTCTCTACTCATATGACTATAAATATAATTGCTTTTAGAATTGCCTCCCTAGTCTTTCTCTGAGGCTATCTTCTGTAACCTCTTGCTAGTCTGCAGTCAAGATAAATCAGATGACCAAAGTCATCAGTAATCCTAAATGGATATGTAATTCCAAGTCTCTAGACTCTGACCTGAGAGTAGCACCATGCTGGGTGCACCAAGAGAGTTTTATGTCAGTTTTATATTCAGCATTGAATGTGTTTGATTTTTATTTCATTATTTTTATTTTTTAGTTATGCTCAAAGAAAGTCAATAATGAAACTTGCTAATAGAAAACCTTTACGAACAAAGAAAACACCACTGAAGAAATCAGATGTAAGGTATACCACTGGGGAATAGAAACTGGGGGCTTTTTTACACACATTAAATAAAATCATGTCTACTTTCCTTCTAGTAAACTTATAAAATAGTCCACTGGCACATTTGTCTGTAGGATGAGAGCCAAAGCTGTCCTAAACTAAAATCTTCATTGTTAGTATTTCTATTACATCCTATGATATGCTATATCCCCAAATTTAATTTTGCAGATAATTTCAATTTCTAATGTATGAATATAAGAAAATGTCAGTGCAAGCAATCTTAAATGAATCACAACTGGTTTTCTCCAAGAACTGGATTAGGTGCAAAACACGCCCCGCTCACAGTCCCCACCAACACTCTTGGCTGCTTGGCGTTCCACCCTCTACTTCCACCTGGAGCAGAGAGGACTCCTAAGTGTGTCTCTAGCATGCCTGGTGGGACTATGCTGGAAATATCTAAGCTGCACCCACATTCTCCTCTGTCCAGTCTGTTCTCAATGCAGCCCAAATTGCTTTCCTTGATCAAACTGCTTTCCTGCTCTAAGACTTTTGCCAGCTGCCTGACAGTTATTGATTAGAGTCTACACTCCTCAGCCTGGTGATCCCAACCCCAACAGTTCAGACCTCATATACTTTGCCAATCCAAATCCTCT
Organism: Homo sapiens; assembly: GCF_000001405.40. Taxonomy (NCBI): domain Eukaryota; kingdom Metazoa; phylum Chordata; class Mammalia; order Primates; family Hominidae; genus Homo; species Homo sapiens. Next base: position 124,989,948 of record NC_000003.12, read on the forward strand.
ACTTTCTGCCTTCCGATCTTCCTATCTTCCAGCCACATCCACTTACACACTGTCCCCAGAACACCAAGGGCCCATGGCTGCCTGAAGACCTTTGTCTAAGTTGCTCCCTCTGCCTGGGATGTCCTCCCCCCATACCCGCCAGTCTAAATCTTTCCTACTGTTCCTCTAATTCCACTCCCTCCAAGAAGTACTGTCGAGTGTCCTCTCATTCTTCTGTGGGCACAGTCCCTGCCTCCCCGTCCCACACCCCATGTCTGGTTATCACAGTAACACTCAGCACACAGCAGGGGTATTTAGGAGTGAGTGTTTCTCTCCCTGCCCAGCCCAGACCTTGAGCCCCTGAACAGTACCAGTCAAGTCTTTCTCTTTGTTTTTTTTGTTGTTGTTTTTTGGGTTTTTTTTTTTTTTTAAAACGAAGTGTCGCTCTGTAACCCAGGCTGAAGTGCAGTGGCGTGATCTTGGCTCACTGCAACCTCCGCCTCCCAGGTTCAAGCGATTCTCTCACCTCAGCTTCCCAAGTAGCTAGGATTACAGGCATGTGCCATCACACCCAGCTAATTTTTGTATTTTTACTAGAGACGGGCTTTCACCATGTTGGCCAGAATGGTCTCTAACTCCTGGCCTCAAGTGATCCTCCTGCCTCCATCTTCCAAAGTGCTGGGATTACAGGCGTGAGCCACCACGTCTGGCCTTTCTCTTTGTTTCCCCCATGCCATTGGCATAGAACCTAAGAAGACAGCAGGTGTGAACTGAGGGAAGTGGGAGGAGACTGACACCTGTGCACTAACAACAGGGCCAGGCCCCTGCCCACGCATAATGGTCCACTTTTGTACACTTACGGTTTCCACAGTTGAGACCACCAAGGCCAAATGGGCAACTGCAAGCCAAGAAAGAAAAAAGGGCAAGAATTAGTTTCCAATCTCAAAAGAAATAAGTGAGGCAATTTATCTAAATAAGATTTGTAACAAAATTAGACTAAATCAACATGGAGCCTACCTCATGCAGGTTTCATTTTCAAGCCTATATCCATCTTCACATGCTGAAAGACAAAAGGAAAATGCATGAGTGTGTCTATTTACCTCTCCCAAACTCCCAGTTAATTAAACGCCAGCCACCCTAAAGTCCACAAGATTATTCTAGTACCAGAAGGCTGCAAACTGCTTTGGAATGATCCTCACTTAAATACTGTTGCCGGCACAACTCTTTTTTTTTTTTTTTCTGAGATAGAGTCTCGCTCTGTCACCCAGGCTGGAGTGCAGTGGTGCCATCTTGGCTCACTGCAACCTCCACCTCCTGGGTTCAAGTGATTCTCCAGCCTCAGCCTCCCAAGTAGCTGGGATTACAGGCATGTGCCACCATGCCCAGCAAATTTTTATATTTTTAGTAGAGATGGGGTTTCACCCTGTTGCTCAGGCTTGTCTCGAACTCCTGAGTTCAAAGTGATCTGCCCGCCTCTGCCTCCCAAAGTGCTGGGATTACAGGCATGATTCGCCATGCCTAGCCTCAAATCTTAACCTTATCAAAAAACTTTTCTTAACCTCTTTGTGGCTCTCAATCTCCCAGCTATAAAAAGTATTTTATTGGAGGTGATTAAGTGAAATAAGGCAATCCAATGGCTTAGTACAGGTCTGGTACATAGTAACCACTAAATCAGGGTTTTGTAGTTGTAATTATTATTACTTTTTGAGATGAGTAGCTTTGTTGCCCAGGCTAGAGTGCAGTGGCACTATCTTGGCTCACTGCAACCTCGACCTCCCAGGTTCAAACGATTCTCCGGCCTCAGCCTCCCAAGTAGCTGGGATTACAGGGGCCCGCCACAAAGCCTGGCTAATTTTTGTATTTTTAGTAGAGATGAGGTTTCACCATGTTGGCCAGGCTGCTCAAACTCCTGACCTCAGATGATCCGCCCTCCTCGGCCTCCCAAAGTACTAGGATTAAAGGCGTGAACCACCATGTCAGGCATGTAGTTGTAATTATTATATGACCAATGCAATTCATTTAGAAGTTCTCTATAGATGAAGAATGTCCCCTGGGGAAACTCCTTCCATCACAAAGACATATGGCTCCCCTTCTTTAATGTAAATCAAACCTTTAACCTGATAATGGCCCTGCTGACACCCTTCCATGAGAAGGGGGGGAGCTGTAGGTGACATCTTCTGGGGCACAGTCCTGGTGTGTACCCAGGTTTTCGTAACAGAATGCTCACCCTAGAGTCTGTGTAGGGGATTTCGGACATATCTAGATGTGTGCTAATCGGCACCTTGCCCAAGAACAGAACTTTGAACCCTCGGGTGGTGCAGCTCATGGAACGCTACTTCACTGAAGCAGTTGCAGCCTGGCCATTTCCCTGGATCAGCAGTTCCTGAATTTATGTGATCACAGAACATTTTCAACACAACAATAAGATGACAGAACACCATGAGCTATAATGCATGCTTGAATGAAAGCAATGAAAAATGGCCTCACAGACAAATTCTCTGCTGCAAGGAATGATAAAAATGTGATACAGGGTTAATGTACGAGATACATTGCATAAAAGATCCCGAATAAGAAAAGGTACAGAGTGTAGAGCTGCAATACTTGATGGGATGGCAGACGTGCTAATGGTGGGTTATGGGGGCCAGTAGCATGCATGGCTGGGGGTGAGGAGGGGCAGGGGGCTGGCGAGTGATGCCCTGTGGGCTGGGTCCAGCGTCCTTGTGTGTGATAACTTTCCTCATGACGATGTGTTGAATCTTCTTCCTCCTACTTTCTTAATGTTAGCAGCTGAATGCCTCTGGCATGTGCTTTATTGTTACAGACTTTCTATTAACATATCACTAGAGTGTTGTGGAATACAGTTTCAAAAACACTGTTCTAAATCATCTGTAATGTGTCTCACAGCAGATATTAGAGAGCTGTGCACCTGGACAGCACTGTTTTGACCCCACAGTATCACTTTTCCTGAGCTACATTCTCTTGTATTAAGGGCTTTTTGTTATAAGCGGCAGCCATGGGAAAGTCCCTGTGGTATTTATTTGGGGATGTCATGGACTGCTTTGCTACAATACCACTCAGTAACCTCTTGACGAGGATGCCCCAGAGAAATTGCTCTTGGCCCCATTGTTTTAAAACACAGGGATGCTCCTGAACAGCTGCTCTTTATTTTAGGGACCCTGACTCTTTTCAAAGTCATGTTTCCCTTTTTGCCTCAGTGTCCGGGAACCTCAGCACTTAAGTGAGGGGCCTTCTTTTAGCAAGCGTGCAGGACCCTGCTGTGTCTCATTCTGCATATTCACTTTCCTTCTGGCCTCAACAAAACAGTCCGTTAATTTCCCCTTTAACCTGATTTACCTTTTACATATTTTTAAATCTTATATTATCAAATCAGTTTTCACTAGGTGCTTTCACTTTATGCCACAGGTAGAGCATAATTGCATCCTGTTTAGGGAAGGAGTAACGAGGCCCCATCTCCCAATCTTTGATACCTGAGTTCTCTGCTGGCCTCACTCAGGTGGGGCCTTCTCTAAGGAGGCAGCTGAGTGCTCCTGCCTCTCCCATGTCTGGTGGCCCTCCTCCTGTGTATGCCTCTGCTTCATACTGCAGCAGGACGTGGGAGTGGGGGAAGCTACCCTGGATGATCCATGGATGGCTAACGCTGCGGGGCAGCCACCGGAAATTGCTTGCTTCTTCAGTGACTCCTCCCCACCCATCTCGGCACTGAGGCAGGCTGATGTCACACCAGCCTTTTCTATTTTGAACACTTCTTCCTGGAAATGTTTTTACATCCAATCTCCCCACCCAACATTAGACTTCATCTGCTGGGTGGAAGTGCTCCACTCCATGGCTGTCATCCAGGCAGATGTAAGGTCCATCTGTTGTCCTGCCCGCGAGCTGATGGGTTGGGCTGTTTTCATTTTGTATCAGAAGTGACCTGGCTCCCTGATGTCATGATATTTCTCTATTTCAAATGGGCTCATTCCGTTACGCATCAGTGGTTGAGTGCTACTGTGCCGTGGCGCTGTTCTGGGGAAACCTTGTCAGTGAGGTGCTCCTGTGCTCCTTAGGACCCAGCTTCTCATCTCACTCACCCTAGAGCAGCAGTCCCCACGTTTTTGGCACCAGTGACTGGTTTCATGGAAGACATTTTTTCCATGGACCAGCAAGGGGGTGGTCTTGGGAAGATGGTCTCGGAATGAAGCTGTTCCACCTCAGATCATCAGGCATTAGATTCTCCTAAGGACCACGTAACCTAGATCCCTCACATGTGCAGTTCACAACAGGGTCCACACTCCTATGAGAATCTAATGCTGCCGCTGATGTGACAGGAGGCGGAACTCAGCTGTGCAGCCCAGTTCCTAACTGCACCTCCTGCTGTGCAGCCCGGTTCCTAACAGACCACAAACTGGTAGGGTTGGGGACCCCTGCCCCAGAGGTATTCTGACCACAGAGCACTGAAGATGAAATGAATTTGGCAACAGCTAGTATATATTCCCAAACTGGGCTTCCCCTATTGCCATAAGACACAAGTGAATTCAAGTCTTCTGGACTTAAAAATAGAAATAAGTAGATGGTGGCATCTTTTTTTTTTTTTTTGGAGACGGAGTCTTGCTCTGTCACCCAGGCTGGAGTGCAGTGGCGGGATCTCAGCTCACTGCAACCTCCGCCTCCTGGGTTCAAGCGATTCTTCTGCCTCAGCCTCCTGAGTAGCTGGGACTACAGGCATGCACCACCACGCCCAGCTAATTTTTGTATTTTTAGTACAGACAGGGTTTCACCATATTGGCCAGGCTGGCCTCGAACTCCTGACCTCATGATCCTCCCGCCTCAGCCTCCCAAAGTGCTGGGATTATAGGCGTGAGCCACTGTGCCCAGCTGACAGTGGCATCTTAAAAACTCTTTTGTTCCCTTGCAGGAAATTATATCTAGCCATGTCAATCTTTTCCCATCTTATTTGCTGCCTTATCATCCACTCGTTCATTCAACAGACATTTGCTGAACCCTGCACTGCTCAGGACATGGTTCTAGCACTCAAGGGAATGGCAGTCGGATTAAAGAAAGAGACATGCAAACAGGTTGTGAGAATTCATTGCCAGGTGTGGTGGCTCATGCCTGTAATCCTAGCACTTTGGGAGGCCGAAGTGGGTGGATTGCTTGAGCCTAGGTGTTTGAGACCAGACTCGGCAACATGGCAAAAGCCCATCTCTACAAAGAATACAAAAATTAGCTGGACATAGTGGCAAGGACCTGTAGTCCCAGCTACTTGGGAGGCTGAGGTGGGAGGATCACTTGAGCCCAGGAGGTCAAGGCTGCAGTGAGACTTGATTGCGCCACTGCACTCCAGCCTGAGTGACAGAGCAAGGCTTTGTCTCTAAAAAGAAAAAAAAAAAAGAATTAATCATGATGCCTGCATGATGGAAGGAAGCTAAGAAACCTATGAGAGGGATATCTACTTTGATTTTATGTGTAGCTTTGAAAGTCTGGCAAAGACATTTTCTGTGAGACACCAAGCACGTTGTGTGTGCATGTGTGTGTGTGCACGCACACGCTGCAGAGAACATAGAGACTTGCTAATGTATAGCTTGAACTGCAGTGATTTAGAAAACACACACTCCTCTATCCTCTATTTATATTGAGCCTTGATTTGAGGTGTCAGTGCTCCAGCACTGATGGCCAGAAGATGTCACTGCTAACCCATCAGAACCCAGCCTAAAGGGCTGTGGCCCAAGAAGCCCGGAATCCACTCCTCAGAGGCCTGATGGTGCAAATACTGCTGAGAAAGGGCTTCACGGGGTCTCAGCAACAAGCCCAAAAGTGAATCAAGGTTTCCTTATGCTGCTTCTTGGGTCCTCACTTGGTCAACATAAGGTTGCTGGTGCCTGTGTCAGCACACTCGGTAAATCTTTCACAGCTATTGTTAATGCTAGCCTGTAACTGAAACAATTACAAAATTGCTGACTTGGAAACAGAGGAAGTGGCGCAGGCCAGCCAGAAGCAAAGGTGATAGGGCCATTGTTGAGACACTGTTCACAGGGAACACCACAGCACCATGCCCATACCTCTGCCCACCTTGTGTCATCCCCTGTCAGCAGCACAGCGCCCCAACACACATGGATGTTAGCCCAGTCCCCTTCCCATGTGAAGATGGGCTCAACTCCTCATTTGTTTTCTTTTTTTTTTTTGAGACAGATGTTGCCCAGGCTGCAGTGGTGCAATGGTGTGATTTCGGCTCACTGCAACCTCCACTCCCCGGGTTCAAGCGATTCTCCTGCCTCAGCTTCCCGAGTAGCTGGGATTACAGGCATGCGTCATCACACCCAGCTAATTTTGTATTTTTAGTAGAGACGGGGTTTCTCTGTGTTGGTCAGGCTGGTCTCCAACTCCCGATCTCAGGTGATCTGCCCGCCTCGGCCTCCCAAAGTGCTGAAATTATAGGCGTGAGTCACCACGCCCGGCTCAACTCCCCATTTCTAAGAGGTGCAAGGAACACTTTGCATTAAAGCAGATAAGATGGCATGAGGAAGCATCATCTCTTTGTAGCAATGTGGCAGTCTGGCACGGCACTGAGACATGCTGTGTCCTAGTCACACATCAGGACCTAGGCCCAACACAGAGAGTTGGCCCTCCCCTTCAAAACCCATCACAGGTCCCACCTGGAGAGCTGATGATGCGCACTTGAGAAGAACTTTGTATCCAAACCTAACAAAGTCAGAGGGTCTGAAGCTCAGGATAAGAGTGCTGCCCTGAAATATATTTTTATCTGTGATGAACAAGTCCTCTCATGGGAAGTCCTGATGGAGAAAAGTGGCATGTCGCCTCGCCCCAGTATGTGATTTTTATTCAGATTCCAGTAACATCCATTGACATCTGTCACCAGCAAGGTGTTGACTGAGTAGGAAAACTGGCCATCCATGATGGCCTTTATATCGTTAGTTTTTCTGGTGATTGCAAGTTGCAGCAGCCTTTTATAAGTCAGGGTGCGTGGTGCTCTTGGACCTGAATTAATTTTATTTTAAAGCAGTATTCTTGGACTACATTCTTTGAGCAGTTTTTCCCTGAAACTAAATGAATTTAAGCCTCACCTTAAAGGTTAGTAGAATTAGATTTCTGCTCTCAAGCACTTCATGAGACCTTTAAAACCAGAACTCATTAATTCAACAACAACCTGGACCAAATACAAGAGCAGATGCTGACAGCTTACAAAGGGCCTCTATATCCACTGCCTTCCTTAACTCTTAGAATAAATATCCAATAGAGGATCACCATACCCATTTCTCAGGAGAGGAAACCGAGGCTCAGAGAAACAAAGTGACTTGCCCAAGGTGATACATGATCAGTGAGGCAGAGTCGGGCTCTGACTCTGGCCTCAGCTGCCTCTGAAAGATATAAGCCTGACCCCACGCTTGTACTTCCACTTTAAAAGATTAGCAGACAACAGATAAAGCTTTGGGAATTAAAACAATAATTTTTCTAACTTCCTTTAAATGGAAAAAAAAAGAAAAGGCACTGCTACCACAGGCATTCCATTCTGTCTTCCTTTGAATTTAATTGGCCAGACCAGCATGCACCAGTCAAAGATAATGCTATTATTCCAAGGAGATAATGTATTCAATCCTGCCACGAGCAAAATAACAAGAACCAGTTACCCTCAGTTTAGAATGGTCACGCCTAAGCAAAGACAGAGAGAGAGCAAGAAAGAGAAACAGAGCACCAGGCAGAGTCCCAGGACTGGGCACAGAACCCCAGGCGAAGCTGTGGCTACCTCGGCAGGAGTGGTCCATCTTGTTGAACTGAAAGTATCCCGACTTGCACTGGCACAGGGCAACGCCGTCCAGGTCAGTGCAGATGGAGGTGTCTTTGTCACATTCGGGACTCTTCCGCTTGCACAAGCTGCCCGCTGGAATGGAAAAACAAGACAGTGAAACAAAACAAAACCTTCTCCACTTCAAACCTTAAAATCTCCTCCACTTCAAAGCTCATGTGTCTGCATGAACTCTCTATTTCAAGAGGCTGAGAACAGTTTTCCGAAAAGTCTCCACAGAGCAACACTCCTCTCAGGAGTCCATCTGTACTGCCTTCTGCCACTCCTTCTCTGATCAGCCGCAGGCTGTGCACCAGTGTTCCCCGTTGAAAACACCCTCACAGCGTGCCACGGACCCACTGAGAAACGAAATTGGAATAAACAGGCCCTGTTCACTCCTCTGGTGCTCACTGCAAATACAGCCCTTAATGGCCCCGTGTCTTCCAAAGGACTGCGGAGGAAGGATCAGCACAACCAGAAAATACGGCTGAGTTCTTAGGAAGCCGAGACTTGGACTAAGAACAGGAGTGCAGGCCAGACCTGTTTCAAGTGGAAGTACATCTCAGCTCTGTGTGTCTGCATGGCCTAAAAAGGGACCTAGAACCACTCCCTGTGGCAAGGTGGCTTGCTGTCCTGACAGCGTGCTGCCTACAAGAGACTGGTGATGAGGAGAGATCTGAAAGACAATCTGCTTGCCCCGGGCTGTAGTGTAATTCTGCTTATCAGGCAGTTTCCCCCACTCCACTGATGGGTTCTTGAGGCTTCTTCATCTCTGGGTCTTCAGTGCCTGGCACAGGGACTGGTTGGTACACATGGCCGCCTGTCACTGACCAGGCAGAGAGAAACAGAGGCAGGCAGAGAAGGAGCCCATCTTTCAGGCTTGCTACCTTGTTTACTTTAGGGCCTTATTCATCTCATGGATGACAAAGAATCATTTCATTATTATCAGAAAGCATTTCCTGTGGGGCATATGGCCCTCTGTGAAGTTGTGTACAGCAGACACAATGAGGGTGCATAGGCCTCCTGTGTATATGGGGTACACAGAGAACAGAACAAAAATAGGAAACCAACTGGATAGTGGATAGTACCTTATTTACACCCATGTGCAGGGCAAGGCAAGCTAGATATTTGCTGTTGTTATTGGGGGGCAAGCTCAAGTTCAGAATGGGAAGAAAGATGCAAGGGGAAGGGCCATGTATCTATTGTGCAGGGAGGAATGGCTGCCAATTTTCCAGGCATGGTCTCCCATTTCCCACCCAAAGGAGGAAGCCAACCTATTCAGAAGCCAGGTACCCCTTTTAATGCTGCAAAACTGCCCCTGCCCAGGCAGGTTTTGGTGACATGAGCTGCCACCCCACATGGGGTTCCTGAAATCTGCCCCCTTTTGTGAGTCCTGAGAACTCAGGACCGGTAGACAGCCTGGTCACACGAGGTAAGCTTAGGACACAACTCTAGTTCTCAAAGCTGAATTTCCTGCCTTTATCAGTGGAAGCTAGCGTGCTCAATCAGAACCACATTTGTGTGTGTGACAGAATTTCCTTTGTTTATTGTAAAAAGTTTGTATTTAAGGGAGAAAAATTAAAAATGGAAAATCTCACCAGGCAAACACTGCAAAGCTGGCACCAGGGAGGTAATGAACTTCCACAATCCCTCATCTCAACTCTTTGAAGGCTTTGCCAGTCCTCAAGCCTTAATATAAAGAAATTCCTCCAGGGCAGAAACCTGTCCAGGCTGACACTTGCCTTGTCCAGCAGCCAGCCAGAGTTGCCTGGCCTGATTAGATATTTTCTGGAAGCCAATGTCACGTTTTCCTTCCACCCTGCCCATTAATCCAGCCTGCTGGCAAATCACTCTGCTGGAGCAACTGTGCCCTGCACAGAAGCAGATCCATGCAAAAGCATGGGACACAGGCCCTGCCTCTGCAGTGGAGGAGTTGCTACCCTACAAATTCTCAAAGAATATTCTACCATAAATTCATCCAATAGGACCACGTAGAATCCCATTTTCATATAAAGCCTGGCAATGTGATTTTGCTACATTCACAATTCCCATGGTCTTTCCTGGGCATAACATCCGCCAAAACAGACAATGAGACTCTAAGTAAATCTAAAGCTGAGACATTCCATGGGGGATTTCCAAAGACTAAACCTCTGGAGATGACAAGAGCTGCAGTTCTTTGAAAGGCAAGGAAGTGGATATTTTATGAAGTGAAGACAGAAAACCCTCCTTTCCAATGGCAGTGTCCAGAGTAGCCCAGCACTGCCCTTATGCTGGAAACACCCAGATGTCAGAAGCTGTCAAGGCCACCTCTCTAGTACTCAGAAAGGTTAGCATGAGACCAGGCTGGTCTTGGCAAAACCTGGAGAAGACCTGGGAGGAAAAACAGGGAAACAAGCCTGTTTTTTTCAGCTAATATGCATAGCTGTCTTTGTTCTCACGGGCTCTGAAAGGAGAAGTAAATAGGAACTTCAGCAAGGCAGCAAGGGTGAGAGGTACTTTCCCATAAACCATATACAAGCAGTCGGAAGAATGGGAGTCAGAGGGTGGGTAGGGCTGCCATGAGCAGGCTCTTTCAAATCCAAATGGCTGGCACTTGATTTGCAAGGCACTTGATTTGAATGCATTTATGGGAAACAAAAAGTAACCTGGTGCAATGTTGATCACATAGAATGTATTCCATAAATATTTAGTGAACTGAAAGGTGACTTTCCTACCTCACTGGGGAGGACAACTTGGTACCCTTGAATCCTTGTCAAGAGAAACAAAAAAGTAAAACCATAGAGTCTCAAAGTTTCGAGCATGATATAATGGGGCATGACCTTTCTACCTCACTCCCCCATCAATAGTAACTTCAACTTCAGAAAGTTTAGCTTTTTTTTTTTTTCTCAGATTAATAACTAGCCTTAAATGGGCCAAGCTCCAGCTCTTATCCCAGAATGAAGGGCTAACAATCTGGCTCCCAAGCTCTGTAATATACAGGCCCACTCCAGAAAGCTCTCTTGACTGGAAGTTATGGAACCCAGGCCCACTGGGAATGTCAATGTCATGGATCTACCAGCAGACTGTTACAACCTGATATCTTCTACTCATGTCCAGCGTCTGGATGCCAGATGGGTGGTTTAGACTAGATTCTCCATCCTTTGCCAGCCCTACTTGTGTAGTAAAATGAGCTAACTTTGATCATGTAGCACGTGGCAACAGGGACAAGCCCCCTTTGCAAAGAAGTACTTTAGATTCCAGTTGAGTTTTCCTGTCCTGGAGGTGAAACTTCTCCTCTAAGACCAAAACTTCCCTTTTGAACTTGTCTCCAATCCCTTTCTTCATTTGCCTCACACCAGAGGCACTATAGAAGCTTTTGACAAAACAGACAAAGCAAGAATGAGAAAAGGAAAATAATTGTTTATGGCGCCACTGTGGGCATTCTGGCCTCCATTCTTCTGGTTTTGTTTCTGTGCATTTATAATGTGCAAACAAACAAACACAAAGGATGGGTAATACTGCACATGCTTTTTTTTTTTTTAACCTAATAATGTATCATGATGAAGGTTTTGGTGGTGGTTGTTTATTCTGTTTTTTGAGGCAGGGTCTCACTCTGTGGCCCAGGCTGGGGTGCAGTGGTGCAATCATAGCTCATTGCAGCCTCGAACTCCTGGGCTTAAGGGTACCTCAGCCTCCCATAGTACTGGGATTACAGGTGTGAGCCACTGCCTCTGGCCAGATGAAGGTTTTTTTGGGTCATTGACAAGCATGTACATTCTGTTTCCCCAAAGAGAGCAGGAACTTTTCAGTGGAAAAAGAGTGATTTCTGCTTTGTCACATCAGCTCCTATGCCCCTCCCCCTCCCACATCAACACTGGATAAAATAAACAGAAGGAGCTGCATGCCAAGGACCAGGTGTCTTCAAGGCTTGTGTACAGGACTCTGGGTGTGTGTGTGCATGTTTGTACATGCATGCACACATAAAAGAAGATGCATGTGCACAAAGGTCTTTGACTTAACACCCATGCCAAAAATAGGCTCTGTGAGGGCCTTTCCTGGGCCTGAGCCCTGGATGCCTTGCATTTCCATCTTAGGTCTGTGCCTAACTATATGGGTAGGATCCTCCCAGAGGGCTGCCCTCTTACCTCTAAAGATCCGCCTCTGAGATCCCAAGAGCTGGCAGACCTCAGCAGAGGACTTGCAGGAGTTGACACATTTCTGCATCCTATCAGCCAGGTCAAATAGCGTCACATTGGAGGCCAGGGAAAAGGTTGTTTGCAGTGAGATCACCACCGCGTTGGACTCCCTATAGGCAAAGTTTGTGGGTTTTTAACAGCCCTGAAATGACACGTGGGTCCCAAGGCTTTTGGAAATGAATGTCATCGCCATTCACCAGTGACGGGATGGGAGAGCATGAAGGTCAGTGACCTTGGCCCTGGATTGCCCCATGGCTGGGTGAAAACAGCCCGGTTTTGTTGCTATCACCCATGTTAGAACAGCCTCCCCTTTGTACAGACTAGTTCACAAGCAAATATAATTCTGTTACTTACCTAGAGGCGTGAACTGTAGATCGGATGTAACTAGGTAACGCTGAAAAACACATATTTAACTGAAAGGAAGAACAAGCCTGTCGTTAACAGTGAGTTAGACAAAAGCCTTGGACCTAGAACCAGTTTCCTATTTTCAGGATAAAACAGGCATTTTCCAGCCATCAAGTTATCAGCACGCGGCTTTGCACAGAAGTGGTGTCCTTTTTTTGTTCCCCTCTTAAATGCCTTTCTGTTGTTCCATGAGTACAAAGAGAAAGAGGCAGAGAGTAAATCAGTGGGGAAAATCTTGGCAGGAAATGATGTTCAGAATAGCACCCTTGGATGCAAAACATCTTCAAAGAAGCAGCTCTCTTTTAAGGCCCAGGGTTTCAAACAACTCAGAGGCAACTGTTTATTTGGACTCTGCATAGTGAACGAGCTGCACTGGAAAGGCTCCTTTCAGCTACTCTAGGTCTGACAGGCCCTACATAGACGCCTCATAATCTACAATGAGTTGACCTAACTCAAAGACAGGTCTTCTTCAAAAAGGCTCTCCGTGAGAAATTACATTATGTGGGTCAAGAGCCCCTTTGTTGAGAGCAAATTAAGAGCTACTCTCCCTATGTTTGCCTTGTGCCCTTGGAGACGGCAGAAAATCCCTCTACAGCATGAAATATCAGGCCTGCTTCCCTGCTACCCTGCACAATAGGAGCTATCGAGACTCCTTTCCCGGAGTGGAGGGTCTCAGTACTGGGCCCAGTGCAGATCCACCTGTGTTCAAGGCCCATGTATCAGATACATGCCACTCTGCAGAAGATGGAGGCAAACATGGGACATTATCAAACCCTTTCTATGACATCAGTGTATAGCCTAATAGCAATGATTTATTATTGTTGTTTTATTATTAACCTGTTTTTCCAGGTTTGGTAAACAGAACACCTCGGGAAAGAACATTTGAGTGGCTTCCTCAGCCAATGATGGATTAATCTTCACTCTTTCTTGGGGACAGGTATGTTACATCACCAGTAAATTATACATTGATACTGGGCAAAAAATAGCAAGTCAAATAAGTCACTGAGCGCCACGTAATGCAAAGGACTGCACTTCTGCAAAGGGTTCTAAATCCCTGTATTATCTTAGCAGGAGATATCCACCTGCAGCACGACCAACAGGCAGCTGTGGCGAAGGGACAAGTATAGGATTAGTAGACATAAAATTCTGCTGTGTAGTAAAGAATTTAACCTTGGCCCCAGGGAAGTCAGGCCTTTGCTCTTGGATCCTGGGAGGCCATCTCTAAGCCCTTGGAATGTGCTGTCTAATAAAAACTTCTTTGTTTACCTGGGGGTGCTGGGCCATGCCAGAGAGTCCAACAATGTGATTTATGGTGGGGTTGGGTAACATGGTATCAGCTCAACCTCTAGAGGGGCTGGAGATTGAGGTCAGCCACATGACAAAGCCCCAGTCAAGGCTCTGGAGAGCTTCCGTGGTTGGCAGTACTCCCTGCATACTGGACACACTGTTGCCAGGAGGAGTTAACACTGTGCATGACTCCTCAGCGGGACGACAGCTGGAAGCTCTGCCTTTGGAACTCTCCCGGACTCTCTGCCCCGTGCATCTCTTTCCTTGGCTGATTTTAAGCTGTTGACTTTCACTGTAATAAACCGTAGCTGTTAATATAATCGCTTTTAGTAAGCTCTGTGACTCCTCTAGTGAATTATTGAAACTGAGGGCGATCTTGGGGATGCCTGAACTTGAAATTGGTATCAGTAGTGATGGTGGTTTAGTGGACTGTTCCCCAACTTTGCACCTGCTCTGCGTGGACTCAGGCAATGTCATTCACTTCCAGACCTCCCGGGGTTCTATCTGCAGATGTGCTGGCAATGCCTGTTACAGGAGTGCGCCATCTGACATCGTCCCTATCATGAAGTGAATGCTCAGGAGATAGAGAAATAGAACTAGATCCGTATTTTACACAGATAAAGTCCAAAGTCCTGTAGAAATGTATAATTCCTAGCTAATATACTAACTCTTATCCACAAAGAACAAGTAACATTGAGATTGGAAATCAATTCATCTCTAAAGTTTTTTAATGGCAAATTTCAATTTTCTGAACCTAGAGTTTAAGAACTCACTGTATAGATGAGTCAAATCTCTGACTCAGATAGCAGTTGAGAAGCAAAGTTTATTATATGAGCTTCATTTTCCTGTCTTCTTTCTTCCTCTCCATTTTCCTTTTTAGTTGTTTCTGTTTTGGGGGGTTTCTTTTGTTTTTGAGACAGGGTCTCACTCTGTCACCCAGGCTGGAGTGCAGTTGTTCGATCACGGCTCACCACAGCCTCAACCTCTGGGGCTCATGTAATCTTCCCACCTCAGCCTCCTGAGTAGCTGGGACCACACGTGCACGCCACCAACCCTAGCTAACTTTTGTCTTTTTTGTAGAGACAGGGTCTTGCCATGCTGCCCAGGATGGCATTTTTCTTTAAAAAAAAAAAAATTCTGATAAAAAGCGGGCAAAGAGGGAAAGAAGCAGAATCAAAGACCCCTCGGTCATCTATACAGTGAGTTCTCAAACCCTAGGACATCAGGATTAACTGCTGCACCTTTGGCATTCCTTTGAGGAAAAAGAGTATCATTTCCCTAAGTTCCAAAATACAAGAGGAAAGTCACACAGCCTGTTAACAGCAGATGGGACCGTAAGATTTTTCTGGGTCTTTCCTCCTCACCAACAGCTCCTGCTGATGCCTGTCATCAGCATGTCTGTAACTATGAGTTTGCACATGGAAAAGAAACACAAAGGTGCAGATAAAGACTGTGCATGAGGACACATTTGAAGAAACTCTTCTACTGGGCACAAATACCTCACTTCCATTTCTGAAAGGCTTTTTCTTTAACCAAGAAGTTTCCCTTCCAAATATAACAAAAGTGAAGAGCCCAGGAGACACAGCTGACCGCTAGGCAGTCCCCTCTTGGAATAAAATCTGTTCTAGGAAACAAAAGACGAGTAGAAAGATGCCATTCAGGACACTTACCGTTTTGGTGATCTCATTTTCAACTTCTTGTAGGTCTGAATGTTTTTCCACAGTTGTATTAAGAAAAGTTCTCTTTAATTTAAACTCTGTCACGAAGGTTCTAACTGAAAATGAAAATGTAACTTGTTAGATTACACAACAGAAGAACCTATGCAAGGCTGTGTGTTTGCACATCTCTGGGGTGTCCGGCTTTACTCCACCTCACAGGACAATCTCTGCATTTCTTTCTCCTTATGGGTGAAGACTCCCTCTCCCTCTTCTAGATTTTTCTCTAGCAAAGTGAGCATCTACTGGACTGTGCTGAAGGCTTAGATTGAGCAAACTTTTGAGAGAGAGAGAAACTCCAAAGAGCCTTTTTTGTATGTGCAAGGCTGCTAAGAGGAGGAGCCTTAGCAATGTCCCTAGGATGGCCTCCCGCACAATAGATGCCCAAGAAAGCTGCTACAAAGAAGAAAGATGAACAGGTCTAAACAATGTCATCCTAGGAGGAGGGAGGGAGATGTGTTAGACACTAAAAATGCTCCTCAGGCCTCATCAGGCTTTCGACAGAGGAAAGCTCTCGTCCTCTGAGGTCTCCAACTGAGTCATGCCCACCACTTCAAGGGGGTGCTTCAGTTTCCTCTTGTCCTTAGAGCCACACCCATCCAAACCCCATTCCTCTTGGTCAGAGGAAATTCCCATTTTATCATTGATAAAGGGGGCTTCCAGAGGTCAGGCAACTTCCTAAGAAAGCTCACCCAGGCTCCCAAGGGCCACCACTGGCATTGGAGCGTATGCGTGTCCATCTTCAAAGCTCTCCTTTCCCCTATAACCTCTGTGCCCTGAGGAATCTGATATCCTAAGGACACCCAAGGGACTTGAGAGAAAGAAAGGTGCCAAGCATGTGTCGTGGGGCTATACTCCATGGGGCTGCCGACTCCATGATTATAAGCCACATAATGAAAACAGCCCATATTCAAGACACTGTTGGGTTCGGAAATGAAAAAAAGCAGCCTCATTTTCAAGGCCCATTTCACTCATAAAATAAAATTCCAGTTAACATCAATTTGTGCTGATTGAGCCTGAGGGGAACGGGACTTACAAATGGGCAGGCAACCAAAATTTAGTATGGTGTGTTTTATTGCTGGCTCTTATCTTCCTTTATATTAAATGCTTATCTTTCCCTCCGGATGGAAAACAAATAACTCAAGACACAGAAGTCCATGAAGCTGCTCTTTCCCCGAAAGCCTGCATGCCGAATTGAGAAAAAGACCCACAAATGAGCCAGGGAAAACATTTAACATCTTACACTTACTGTCTAAAGCGCTTAATCCTTACTTAACATCTTTTTGCTTGTTCTACAGTTCAGTGAAGCCAGCTGCTTAGGACTCTTTCTGAGCAGCAGGGAGCTCTCTGAAAACATTCTTGGCCAAATGAAAGCATTTCAGCATGCTCTAATTTGCATGTTCCTCTGATGTTTATGAACAATGAAGCTAAATGACTTGAAAAGGGAAAGATGATTGTGAAGGCGATAGTGCTGCTCTCCTCCTGAGCTGTGCTACCTGTGGAACCCTCTGCACGCAGGCTTCCAGAACAATGGTCCTGCTTCTTCACTTTCTCATCTCACGTGTCTAGGCTGATACCCAGACTCTCTGTATAGAAATTCACATCGCAGGCCGGGCGCGGTGGCTCACGCCTGTAATCCCAGCACTTTGGGAGGCCGAGGCGGGCGGATCACGAGGTCAGGAGATCGAGACCATCCCGGCTAAAACGGTGAAACCCCGTCTCTACTAAAAATACAAAAAATTAGCCGGGCGTAGTGGCGGGCGCCTGTAGTCCCAGCTACTTGGGAGGCTGAGGCAGGAGAATGGCGTGAACCCGGGAGGCGGAGCTTGCAGTGAGCCGAGATCCCGCCACTGCACTCCAGCCTGGGCGACAGAGCGAGACTCCGTCTCAAAAAAAAAAAAAAAAAAAAAAGAAATTCACATCGCAAATGTCAGGTACGTAGATCTATTCTGAGTCAGGACAGTAAACGTGGCATCTGCTTTTGGTGTGAATATAAAGATATATCAGTTTCATTCCAAACCCTGCACTCACTCCAGGCAGAGTTTTTTGTTGTTTTTTTTTAAAGACACTTACACCTTTACGCCTGCAGTTACAGCACCTGGCTTTAAGTAGAAGTTTTACTTCCAATTTAAATGTTGATTTCCCTATGTTATCTAAATGATTTTTTTGGGAAAGAGCCATAATTATTACTTTGTATTCAGCACAGTTTATTGTTTTCAATGCTTTCAATTCTGGTCCAAGAGTTTGAAGACTAAAGTTAAATGGTACCTCCCATCTGGACAGCTCTTTACCATTTTCAAAGCTTGCTCAAATATATTACTTTACTTGATCTTCACAATAATCTTGAGTGGGAAGCAGGACAGATGGTAATCTGATTTTACAGATGAGGAAATATAGGGCTCAGAAGCCATGTGCTATAGGTGGTGGCCCTGGAGCTAGAAGCAAATCATTTGAGTCCTGGGCAAATACACTTTCCCCACAATCCTTAAAAATAAAATCATTTCCAGCTTCTCTATTCTTAAACTGAAAACTCCTGGCAATATCTTAGTGCGTGGCTAAATAGTTTACTAAAATGCAAGTAAATTATTAGAATAAAAGAAATTCTTTTTTTTTTTTTTGAGACAGAGTCTCACTGTGCAGCCCAGGCTGGAATGTAGTGATACAATCTCGA
Organism: Homo sapiens; assembly: GCF_000001405.40. NCBI lineage: Eukaryota > Metazoa > Chordata > Mammalia > Primates > Hominidae > Homo > Homo sapiens. The sequence goes on from NC_000003.12 coordinate 125,007,981, forward strand.
CTCACCACAACCTCCAGCTGCCGGGTTCAAGCAATTCTCATGCCTTGGCCTCCCAAATAGCTAGGACCACAGGTGTGTGCCACCATGCCTGGCTAATTTGTGTAATTTTAGTAGAGTCAGGGTTTGACCATGTGGACCAGGCTGGTCTTGAATTCCTGATCTCAAGTGATCAGCCCGCCTCAGCCTGCCAAAGTGTTGGGATTACAGGCATAAGCCACTACACCAGGCCAGAATGAGAGAAATTCTTGATTTTGACTGATGTCTCTATTTCTAGATCCTTCTTTTTGAAACAATGTTTTGACTTGATCTTTGTATTTTAAACAATTTTCAAAATTCTACCATTATTTTGGTAGGGTACTTCTTAAAAATTCTCTTCAGCCCACAGGTAATAGCACTTTCAAAGGATACAGACATTTGCTCTCTCAAAAACACTGAGCACTTTTTGTGTGTTAAGTGTCACACTGGGCAATTTAAGATGACTGAAAGATGAGTTATTTTATCTGCCAGTTTCCTTACTTAGCTTAGAAACTCTGTATCTGGCCAGGCACAGTAGCTCACACCTGTAATCCCAGCACGTTGGGAGGCCAAGGCAGGCAGATCACTTGAGGTCAGGAGTTCGAGAGCATGGCCAACATGGCAAAGCCCCTTCTATACTAAAAATACAAAAATCAGCTGGGCATGGTGGTGCATGCCTGTAATCCCAGCTATTTGGAGGCTGAGGCATGAAAATCGCTTGAACCTGGAAGGTGGAGGTCGCAGAGAGCTGAGATGGTGCCACTGCACCACAGCCTGGGCAACAGAGTGAGACTCCGTCTCAAAAAAAACAAAAAACAAAAAACACAAAAACAAAAAACTCTGTATCTTTCATTTCTAACTTCTTCAACAAGTTATGTATTAAACTTGACATTCTAACAAGGGTCACACCCTGCAAGCAAGAAAGCTCCTAAAGTTAACACATTATCATGTAATAGAAAGAGCTGTGGGCTGGGAACCAGGCTTCCCACCAACCCGTTACGTAAGCTTGGCCACTTAGCACCTTGTGAAGGCCTTGGTTTTCGTTTGGTTTGTTTGCTTGCTTTTTAACTTGTAAAATGGAGATTATTTTCAAAATCAAACAGCTTCATCATGAATCTATCAAATTAGTGAACAAAATATGACAAATTGTGTGATACAGTTAGGACAGCAGCTTTCTCAAAATGTATCTGCCTATGAGCAAGAGCATGAAGGTCATTTTTAAAAACTGAAAGAATGTGTGAATGTGGTAGGACAATCAGAGTTTTACTCTCTCTTTTCTCCATCTAAATTGTTTTTTTTTTTTTTATTATGTGGTCAGAATAATCCTTTTGACTTTTTTTTTCCTAGCTCCAGGGTGGAGTGGTTAAGCAAATAATATTATACACAAATGATGGCATAATATGCCGTCATTAAGATGTTTGTACAATGTTTTTAACAACACAGGAAAATGTTTAAGATATAAAGTTTATACAGATATCCTATGATTTCAACTATGTAAAAATATACTGCACATCAAAAACATAATGCAAAGTAGGGTGTTCTATCTCCAAGTATTAGAATAATGGACAATAGCTTCCACTTTTTTCTATATTCCTTAAGTTTATACCTTGGACAAATACTGATTTTGGTTAGCAAGAAAAATAACAAATGTTACCTTGTAAAATATATTGTGGTACGGAATAAAGTCCGAAATAGACTAAGTCTCTTACCCAAATTGCATATCCCTTTTTCCAACTGGTACCCAACCGGGCATTTGCAGATAAAGGATCCCTGAGTATTGTTGCACATGGCTGTGGATGGGCAGGGGTTCGACAGGCACTCATTCACATCTGTAGAGGAGAAAAAAGAAGAACATCTTGCATCTGTAGCAAACAGCAAAACCATAACCCAGTGTAGTAAGTACTTACTAAGGGCCAAATGGTGCTAGGTGTGGTGAGACCCCAAAGGATAAGTATGAGAACACTCTTGCCCTCAAGGGGCTTGCCATCTATTGAGGGTGGAGGTGGCCACATAAACAACTAACTGTAAATACAAGACAAGATTTGCATATACGGGGGAAACAGCAAATTTTAATGGAGGGGAGAATTAAAGACTGTTTCACATAACATCTGGACTACAACTGGAAGGACTTTAATCAATAGATTAGGGTGGCAGTGGGGGGATTCCAGCCTGAGGCATCAGCACAGTAAAGTCCAGGGGCAGGAATAGGGTACAGTGTGGCAGGAGTGTTGGGAACAGACACAGATCAGGAAGTCTGGCAGTGCCACACTACAGTTCCTGACATTCTCCTGCAGATCACAACCTACAAACATGCTGACTCTCAAGTAAGCAGGGTATTAACTAAAACAGTGTATTTGTCCACATTTTGGAGGAAAAAGGAGTTTATTGGGTAGCCCAACGTGGTACTGTGGTGCAGACCACTGGGCGTTACTTTTTCTCTTACCCACACTGCAATCATCCCCTTGCCAGGAAGGCGGGCACCTGCAGTGGTAGCCACGGCTGGTGTTGTCTGCGACGCATTCGCCATTGTGAAGACAAGGGTTCACAGCACAGCTGTTGACTACAAACACATTCCAGGAGTAAAGCAGTTAACCACACAGGAAATGTAAAGGCAGCTTTAGGTAAATATTTAATTCTCCCAGCTAATATTTGATTCTTGCTTATTTCTGTTTACTTGCCCTGAAAGGCCACATTACAAAAGTAAAATGGGTTTCCCAGAGGTGCATTGGGACTGGGTCCTGGTACTAGCTTGTGTCCAGATCTAAGTGTCAGACAATGGGATCCCTGAATGCAAGAACTGATTGTAATCAAATGCTGCTTACAGGTCACTCCATTCAGGATTGATGATTATATTGCCTTTGTGACACTTAAGAAAATTCTACTTGAATCAATGCCAATTGAAAGCACACTTTAGGGGGGAAAAGGATCTCTGATCAACTCATTCCCCCGCTAGAAGATTTACTCTGTATACGTGTGTCTGTGTGTCTGTGCACACGTGCCCTGCCCTTTCTCTTGGGCTTTCTTTATCAAAATCATAGTATCCTTTACTCCAAAATCTCCAAATGTAACTCAGCCTCCACATATTGTGCCATATTTAGAAAATGATCAGAGTTGAGCAGCTATGTAATATGCTTCATACAGGTTTCTGACATACTTAGAGAAGCCGAAGCCTACAACATAACTGCATTGTCTGCAAAAAGGAAATCAGTGGTGGAATGAAAAAAAGAAGGTAAAAGTCAAGTCTTCACTCAAAAAAAAAAAATAGTAACCCTGAAAACAAATGAGCTAAACCTAAAGATGGTGTTCCTATCCTGTATTGCCATGTCAAGTGTTATCTAAAATCACCCATAGAAGCACAGCACTTATATAGCCAAACACTAACCCATGAACACTGGCACAAAAAATATAGTAACAGCCAGTGAATCTGCCCCTAATACTTGCCTACAGTTATCATCAGAATGGCTAATGGCTTTAAGGGAGACTTGTGAATTAGATTTCATCTGGCACTGGAATATATGTGGCCTCTGAAACTGAAGGCTATAGGCCTTGAAGCAAGGCTCCCAAACTTCCCTGGAGAAACAGCCACCTTTCATTTCCCAGAGGTGCTCAGATCACTGATACAAAGGGGCACTGTGGGGCTTGGCATGGGGGTGGTTTGCTTATGAGCCTCCAGCCCAGGTTGATTGTGGCTGACAGGTTGGAACTGTGCTGCTCCCTGAGCTTTCTGCTCCAGCCACTACAAAGCATCATCTCTTCTTTCCTTCTTCCCTAAGACGCCAGTTTCCATTTCACTCCTCCAACAGCAGTTTTCCTTTCCCATGTCTGGACAAGCCAGAAGTGTAACTTTGAACATGACATGAAAAGCTGCATCATCCTACTTCCTTCTACCGTTCCTTAAATGACAAAGGATCATTTGGCTGGCTTTACTTTCCTGGTACCAGCAACTTCAACGTGGCTACAAAAACAACCCTAAGTGTGATGTAAAGGAGCTCTGGCCGTGCGGTCACTGTGGGAAAAGGTTAGTTCACCATCTTTTCATTTACATGTCTCCCCACTCCCATTTATCAACTAGCCACACACTCTTTCGGAGACAAAGGAGCTTGGGCTTCCCTGGATCAAGAGAAGCCCAGTGACGCCAAGAAGCTCCCTGGTGACTGGGGAGCCCCTGACTCAGAGACTCTGGGATCTGATCCAGACGCAGATACCCAGTTGATCCCTGTGTCAGCCAGGCCTCCTAAGCTTCTTTACTTGAGTTTCTCCACCCTACAATCCTGCATCACTGCCCTCCTCTGACCTCTGAGGAGTTAACGGCATGCTTGAAAAGCTCTTACAACTACAGGGCACTAAAAGCTGCAATTGTACCATCTACTAATGTGACACATGGCCAATGCATCCTTTCCTCTTTATTCAGGAAGCATTATACAACACAGGGGTGAGAAAATTAGGCCCACCCATGACCTTCTTTTACACTTTAAGTGTTTCAATAGGAAGCATTTTAGGTCGCAAAACAGAAGCTATTTCAAATGCCAGCCATTTCTACAAATTCACATGAACCCCGAGCCCCATGTAGCTCTCAGTGCTGGACTGGGCCTTGCAGTTAACATGTGCTTGTGTGACTGTGTTTTACCTGAGGCTGAAGAGGACACTGTTGTTGGTGACTGTGTGCTGCTCTGAACAGCAAAGGTGGCAGATTTGGGAGCCAAGTCTTCAGCCGTGGAAACAACTGTGGTTTGGGGAGAAGGAGATGTTCCGAGGGAACGTGAAGCTGGGCTGTACTCTGCTGTAACGCCAAGCTTTGTGGTCATTTCTTTTGCTGATGTGGGTACACTGGTCAAAGGGATCAATCCAGTGGTAGCATCCACAATCACTCGGTTCCTTTCTGTGCTGATGCCACCTTCTGTTGAGATTTGAGGAACTAGTATTTCAGGATGGGTCAGCGAGAGCTGTTTTCCAGCTGTAGTCTGTACGGCTATAGGGCCAGTGACCAGAGATGCTGTGCTTGACAGGGTGCCAGGAGTGGTCATAAGAGGCTGAGAGGTCTTCAGAATGGTAGTTGTGAAAGTTGGAGACATTTGTGCTAAGTTGGTGCTTGTGGCTGGAAGGGTTTGCTCTGTGGAGGACTCTGTTAAGGATGGAGGCAAAGGAGAGTTTGTTGTTACAGCTTTGGTGGACTCTGTGGGCAGAGACACCAGGCTTGGTGACTTTGATTCTGTAATGACTTTCTCTTGGTGTGGGGTGCTCTGGCTCTTAAGGTCTGCAGTTTGACTACTATGGAGCATTGTCATGAATGATGTCATTGTTGATGTCTGAAATGAAGTCACAGGAGTCTCCCTTGCCCTGGGCAGGACAGGGGTAGAAGATGACTGTGGCAAGGTTGTTTGTGAGACAGAAAGTGGGGCAGATGTAGATGTCGTTAAGGATACTGGTAAAGGTGATGGTGAGGAAGACCATGGTGTGGATGCATCAGAGGTAGACTTTAGTAGATGCACAGAGGCCCTGGTTGATGGTAAAATTGATGAAAATAAATGGTGGGATTGTGACACAGAGGGCAGAGGCAAAGGAGGCCCTGAAGAAGAAGAAGAGGAGGAGGAGGAAGAGGAGGAGGAGGAGTCACTAACAAACTCAGCATCAGTGTCCAGAACAACCGAAGTGTTCGGCATATTAATGGTGGGTGTGTAGGACGGAAGGTTGGATGTATGCAGAACTGGCGACTCAGTAGAAGGCTGAGCATATTCCCCGTCATAGGATGAGATGTTACTTCTCTCAGTCTGAGCATGAAAAAAGGAGGAATACTCTGAATGTGAAGAGTTTGAGATTTTAATATAAGAAGTTGAGCTCTCCACAATGTCTGAGGATGAACTGTTATCTGTAATGGACAGTAACGCCCGTTCTCCTTTGGTGAAAGTAGATGACAGGTAGGTGTGGTCTGTGTGGTCGCTGGAAGTCCTTTGTTCAATAGCTGTGCCACGCACTTGACCGTAGCTAATCCCAGCGACTGTAAACGGAAAAGCCAAAGTTAGGTCAAATAAAAGAACAACAAAACTCTGAAATATGCACTATCAAACAGACTTTCAGTGTCATGAAACTCAATGAATTCAAGTGGGTGAAACACTTGCTTTGGAGAGGTGGTTTTCAAGGGTGAGCACTCTGAATAAAGACATTGTGGGCAGGCAGGAGTGGTCAGTGTCTCCTCTGAGCAGACTGACCTCCTGAGAGAAGCAGTGGTAGCGGCAGTGGAAATGGTAACAAAAGAGAAGTGGGGACTAAGGGTCTAAAAATGGAGAGGAGTTGCAAATTTCCTCCACATGCCTTTTTCGATAAAAGCAAACTGGTATCTGAAAAGCTCTTAAGACCCCAAATAGAATAACTGTTATGCCTAAATGAAAAAAGGAAAATCTTCCCAACTTTCCATTCTATAGAATGAGATATTTCTTTCCCAGGAGATTGACCTTAGCCACAAGTGGTTGGTCTCTTATTTTAAGTCTCCCAGCAAACACTATCCCAAATTCCTTAGGTGAGTGTGTGTGGAGGGCTGGGGGTGGGAACTGGGGAGGGGTATTCACCTTCCTGAGGTGGGAGAATCTAGAAAGTTCTCTCCATAAAGAGCTTGTAAGGCACTTTCTGGCTTGACAGCTAACTGAATCATCCCAGGACGGTGAGTAAATTAATAGATGAGCTGAAGGGATGTGTTAAAAGAGACTGTGGAAGACACCCCACCTCCGAGTGCACTGGAGGCGGCCAGTGACCGTGAGACCAGGCCCATGTCGTCCGTCACGTTTACGTGCAGAGAGGCACCCTCTGTTTCTTGGTGCATGGCCGCTGCAGGGCTGCCTGCTTCCCCAGAAGTCGTGCTCATGCTGGTGTTGGTGAGGGTGACAGACCGCAGTGTGCGTTCCCCGTTTCCAGTGACAGTAGCCAAGGTGTGGGTGCCGAGAGAGGGCACCCCAGAAGTCCTGTCCTCTGCATTGGCGGAACTGTCACCTAGTGCTTGGCCTGGCTCTCGGCTGTCTTCCAAGGCTAAAAGTAGAGTGAAAGAGGATGGCTGAAAAATGCAGGGCTGGAGCGACAGGATCGTGCCCCAAGCCTCACTTCCTGGGCTGTGGGAGCCAAGACGCTCCCCTGTACTTTTAGGGTCTTTATCTGAGATGTCTGTTGCCCTTGCAAACATGGCTCAGTGATTGAAACCTCAAGAGGAACTGTGGATCAGCACAACTGTTCAGGCACCCTGGATTTATAGGAGGGTATATTACTTTAGCAAATAGGATCGATACTAGATTTCTGCTCAGTGATACATAATAAATAGAGTTTATGTCAGAGAAATTGGTAGTGGTGGTGAGGAGGTAAACAGTTGGTGAAAGACTAATAATCCTACTGGGGCTTCAGACATTTGCACAAGGCCCAGAAGGGAGGCCATAGTCCTCCTTGGAAGGCTCTTCCTCCCGGAAGGACCAGGAATACATGAATGGCCACAAGGCCAGTCATTACACGGCATTAGTACAATGGCAAAGAAACAGCCTGAGGTGGGGGGTGAAAGGTGGGCTTGTTTTTTTGTCTTCTTTTATTTTTTAAAATGCATGTGTTTTATTCTATTGATGGGGATGGAAGAGGGCAGACGACACATGAATAAATGTCTGTTTCATTCTCTTTTGGGTATGTGTTTATGCTACAAACCTAAAGGGTCTTAGAACTAATTTTAGATTGTTAGATTATCAGATAAACCCTTCTCTTCAGAAATGATGAAAATGAGGTCCAATTCTCCTTGGCCTAAATCCTTCCTAATCTGGCTGTACAAAAAGAAAAAAAAACCCAAAAAACAAAAAACAGGCTCTTTTCTGGTTCTTATTCACATTCCCAGCCCAGACTGGCTGTCAGTACGCCATGGCCATGCTTTGATGGAAAACAGTGTAAAGCTGAGTGTTGGCTAAATTCATTTTGGGATAGGTTTGAATTGACAGAGACAGGAATGAGCACGGGCCACGAGCATCACTGAGAAAGCCAGAAGCCAGACAGAGATGCGACTCAAGCCAGTCTGAAGGGCTCAAGACCTGTGGAGAGCCAACCAGGAGAGGCGCAAGAGCAGGATCTAAGTACGATTTCTCTGGGCAAAGAGAAAAAGGTCTTGGATGGGGAGATCCTAAACTCTCTGTTAAATGAAATTTAGGCCAATGACCACATCAGGGTTACAGGCTTAACAAAGTAGAGAGAGAGTCAGACATGAAATGGAGACTCTGAATGCAGAAAAGGGAGCGGGCCAAGAACTCTAAAAGGCCGGAGTGCAGAACCCCGCCAGCTTTGGGTGACTCTGAGGGAAAAAGATAAAGTATTGTGTTAACCCACAGTGAGATGGTTTCAGGAATGTGGCTACTTTCTATCTAGCTCTTTATAAATGAACTCCAAGATCTGATCACACTGAAATCATATGTTCCTCATGAACCAACTGAGCATTAATTGCAGAGAAGCGGGTACTGAAGAGATGTAAAAGAGAAAGGCTATGAAACTCAAGATCCTGGTTTGAGAAGGTAGAAGTCCTGACCCCCACAGTAGTGAGGGTGAAAAATGATTCCTTTTGCTTAGGACATAGATAATGTGTTTTCCAGGCACAAACATAAAAGAGCATAAATATCCCCCGCTTGTGTGTGTGGTATTCTTTCATGATAAGCATATGCTTTTCCACATCACGTGAGTACTAATAAATGCTAATCTTCCTCATCAATTAGGATTCTTATATGGGGGAAATGAAGCTATAACTAGTGATGGAGAAGTAAGAATTTAAACCTATTCAAAGCTTAAATGATCAGCTAATACATTTTTGCTTTAGTCAGAATATACTTTACATTGATAACAGACTGTGAGAATTGTTTTAAAAAATTATCCCTAAGCATTATTAAAAAGAAACATCAAAAGAAAAATTTTCTCAAATTGACAAATTGGACTTCTTCAAATTTAAAAACTTTTGTGCTACAAATGATTCCATCAAGAAAGAGAAAAGACAACCCACAGAATAGGAGAAATGTCTGCAAATTATATATTTGATAAAGGACTGTATCCAAAATATGCAAAGAACTTTTTTTTTTTTTTTGAGACAGGGTCTGTTTGTCACCCAGGCTAGAGTGCAGTGGCATGATCTCAGTTCACTGCAACCTCCACCTCACAGGTTCAAGTGATTCTCCTGCCTCAGCCTCCCAAGTAGCTGAGATTACAGGCACGTGCCACTATGTCTGGCTAATTTTTGTATTTTTAGTAGAGACAGGGTTTTGCCATGTTGGCCGGGCTGGTCTTGAACTCCTGACCTCAAGTGATTCACCCGCCTTGACCTCCCAAAGTGCTGGGATTACAGGCGTAAGCCACCACAGCCGGCCATAAAGAACTCTTACAATTTAATAATAAAAAGTCAAATAACCCAATTTTAATAGTCAAAAGATTGGACTAGACATATTCAAAGAAGATATACAAGTGGCCAATAAGCACATGAAAAGATGCTCAGCATTATTAGTCAACTGGAAAATACAAGTCAAAACCACAATGAGATGCCTCCACCCCCACTCAGATGGCTATAATCAGAAAAGATGGATAATTACAAGTGTTGGTGAAGATGTAGCAACATCAGAACACTTGTACACAGCTGGTGGGAATATAAAATGATGCAGCCACTTTGGAAAAGAGTTCGGCAGTTCCTCAGAAGGTTAAAAATAGAGCAGCCACAGCCACATAACCTGGCCATTCCTAAATAATTGAAAATTTATGGCCAGGCATGGTGGCTCATGCCTGCAATCCCAGCACTTTGGGAGGCTGAAGCAGGCGGATCATGAGGTCAGGAGATCGGGACCATCCTGGCTAACATGGTGAAACCCTGTCTCTACTGAAAATATAAAAAAAAAAAAAAATTAGCCAGGCGTGGTGGTGGGCACCTGTAGTCCCAGCTACTCGGGAGGCTGAGGCAGGAGAATGGCGTGAACCCGGAAGTCGGAGATTGCAGTGAGCCGGGATGGTGCCACTGCACTCTAGCCTGGGCAACAGAGAGAGACTCCATCTCAAAAAAAAAAAAATAAATTGAAAATTTACGACCACATATACACTTGTACCTGAATGTTCACCACAGCATTATTCATAATAGCCAAAAGGTGGGAACAACCCAAACATCCATCAATTGATGACAATTGATAAACAAAGTGTGGTATATCCCTGCTACGGCATATTATTAAGCCACGAAAAGGAACGAAGTTGTGATACAACGTGGATGAACCTTGAAAACATGACACTAAGGGAAAGACACAAAGGACCACATATTGTATGATTTCATTTATAGGAAATGTCTAAAATGGACAAATCTACAGAGACAGAAAGCACAGGAGTGATTGCCAGGGGCTGGGAGGAGGGGAGAATGGGAGTTGACTGCTGATGAGTTTGGAGTTTCTTTGTGGGGTGATGGAAATGCTCTGGAATTAGACAGTGGTGATGCTGCACAGCTTTGTGACTACACTAAAAATCACTGAATTGTGTGCTTTAAATGGGCAAATACTATGGAATATGAAATATACCTCAATAAAGCTGGTTTTTAAAAAACAGAGAATTTATTTGGATGAATGCCCCGACAACTACTAACGAGAAGGTGATATTTTCACCTTCCAGAAGCTCTGTGACTGAGGCAGGTATGGAGTTATGGGTTGGCTACAGGGAATGAGAGGATGTGGACAGAGAAGTCCCTGAGCTGTGTGTGGGAAGAGGAAGTGGCAAGAACAGCTTCTCAGAGATGTACCAGAAAAAACTGGGGGATATATAGGTGTATCTGTATCAACCAGCTAGAAGAAGGGCCTGGGAAATAAGGAAGGAAGGTGGAGGGGCCTGAGGAGTTATTTCATTCATGCATGCTTTTTTTTTTTTTTTTTTTTTGAGACACTTTCGCTTTTGTCGCCCAGGCTGGAGTGCAGTGGTGCGATCTCAGCTAACTGCAACCTCCACCTCCTGGGTTCAAACGATTCTCCTGCCTCAGCCTCCCAAGTAGCTGGGATTACAGGTGCCTGCCATCACACCCGGCTAATTTTTTGTATTGTTAGTAGAGACAGGGTTTCACCATGTAGGTCAGTCAGGTCTTGAACCCCTCACCTCAGATGATCCACCCACCTCGGCCTCCCAAAGTGCTGGGATTACAGGCGTGAGCCACCACGCTAGGCCCTCATGCGTGGTTTTAATACGCCACAGATTTCATAAGCATCATGAGTCCCTCTCTCCTCTATGGGGCACAGTTGCATGAAATGGAAAAACTCACTCGAACGTTCTCCACGTGGTGCTGATGAATTCAAGCTTTCCGAGGAAGATGTAGATGAAGACTCTGAATAACTCCTATCTCCCAATGCTGTGTGACTTCCTCCAGACTGTACAGTAGAGTCTGAGAACTGGGTCAACACTGAAGCATTCACACCTTCAGGATATGAAGCAGAGCTTCCTGTCACATCTGCAGATGTTGTGCTGTTGGTCAAGAGCCAGTGTGCAGTGATCTCTCCACCTCTCATGGGTGCGACTGACCTAGACACAGTCTCAGTCTGAGACATGGGACTTCCATTTTGCACCTCAGAGCTGCTGGCAAGCTGATGTTCTCCAAAGGCTGTAAGGTAATATAGGAAAAAAAGGCCATTACATAGGTATGAAAGAGATCCCTTGGCAACTAAGAAGTGAGACCTCTCTAGGGAAAGATTCTTTGCCAAGGAACCTGGTATAGTGTTTATTAAATGTATTATGCACTATCATATTCTAAATAATTATTTCAAAACTCTTGGGTGGCAGCAAGAGAGTAATACAAAAAAATATAACTTGTTGAACAGGGGACCTTTGAAATAGCATGTGCAAGTAGCAAAGTAACCTATAGGCTTGAGTGTTTCATTCTCTTTCCCATAAAAAGTGTTCGAGAGAGTGAGTGTGTGGTTATGTACAACAAATACAATGCAAATAAATATAGCACAGTCAGAGCACTTTCCTAAAACAGTTCTCATATGAATAAAGGTTATTCTAAATACCAAAGTATAGCAAAAACAAAAATCAATTATAAGGATTAAGCCAAACCACGAATTTGGGAATAATATTTATATCTGCACATTTATGCAGAAAGATGATCTGTACACAAAATAACTGAAGCTAGTTTGAAGAGTGGGCCAGGCTGTGTGCAGTGGCTCATGCCTGTAATCCCAGCACTTTGGGAGGGCAAGGCAGGAGGATTGCTTAGGGCCAGAGCTCAAGACCAGCCTGGGCAACATTGCAAGACCCCATCTCTACAAAAAATAGAAAAATTAGCTGGATGGAGTGGCATGCACCTGTAGTCCCAGCTACTCTGGAGGCTAAGGTGAGAGATCACCTGAGCCTGGAGAGGTTGAGGCTGCAGTGAGCCGTAATCATGCCAATGCACTCTAGCCTGGGTGACAGAGCCAGACATTGTCTTCAAAACAAAATAAAACATAAAGAGTAGGCCGGCTCTCAGCTTGAAGACCATCCTGTAGAGTGAAAAGAAGATGGAACCAAGAACCCTGAGGCTAAGGTCTCAACTCTACTGAGTGAGCTAAATGGCCAGGCACCCATTACTTAAACACTCAGAGCCGTAGTTTTCTCATCTATAAGAAAGCAGGAGGAATGACACCTGTCTGACTAACTTCACAATGTTCTCATAAGAGTGACCATCAAAATGCAATAGTGCCATTAAAAAGCACACTTTTCTCTGGAGATTACAAATGGTCTTGAAGAGGTCCCCTAAGAAAATTCAATGATTTACAAATGTCCCTAATAGATCAAGTAAAGATGGAATACTTACTTGGGGAATCATTTTGCCAACGCAAAGACGTAAGTCCAAATTCATTTTCTGTGGATGGTTCAATGAATTCCTCATCCCCTGGATTCCCAGTTACTCTACTGTTTCTTCTCGATTCCACTGCAGAGGGTGAAAGAAGGACTGAGGATGAAGTCGTGGCAATTCTGGAGTCCTTGGGGAAGCCTTCTGTCTTGCTCACAGGTCCCAGACTGACCGTCAAAGATCGCAGCGTTCTCGGGCCACCATCAGTGAACACGGTGGCAACATGCATTGTCTTTGTTTGACTGACTGAGGAGCTCTGGAGGCCAGTGGAGTTGTTAAGCTTCTCTGTACTTTCAGAAGCTACAATGGAAAAAGATATGCTTCAAAATTACTCAGGAGTTTAAGAAAATCCGGACTATATTCGAGATACAAATGACGTTTCTTACATTTTGGTGGATACATCTAAATACCATGGACCTAATATAGATACAAACATATCTATACACACGCATGCTACCAGGACACATGCCTGCACTCTCCCCTTACTAGGTCTAATCCTCACAGAGGAAGGTGGAGAACACCGAGATCCCTCACCAGGCACAATGAGAAGCTTATACGTTGTTTGCATTATTTGTTTTTTAAAGAGAAAGATGAAAATGTCTGCTGAATTCTACATTACAGCTTAAACAGGACTGGCCACTGTGATAAGGTTTTTGTTATTTTGTTCTGCTTTGTTTTAGCAATGTAACCTTTTTGTTCAAATGCTATTATTGATTAAAATCTCATAATATAAAATGAATAAAAGTGAAGCTGCTGCAAGGTGCCCCACCCCAGGTCACTGTTGAGGAGGCCGAGGGTTTTGCAGAACACAGCTGGGACACTCATGGCCTAGAGCAGTAATTCCTAGGCTTGTCACCATCAAGGGTTCTTTATTTTTCCCTACCTCATGGCCACCATAAGCCCTATGTTTTGAAAGACTATTAACCAAACTGCATTTATTAAGTAACAGAATTTCTAACCAGCAGGAAATACTTATTATTACCCCACAAATTTAATTCCACCCAAAAGCAAACAGGCTTCATTATCATACTTTGCCCCATTAAGCTTTAGAGACCAGCTCTCAAATCTGCATACTACTCCAATGGGCCCCTCAGAGATCAAGGACTCCAGGAGCATTTGCTCTAATAGATGGATGGCTGCCATGGGGAAACTGTCAAGAGCCTCAAGGAGTGAATCAGACGCTATTGGTCAAAAGGTGTAGTCTGCTCCACATAAGTACGGGTGTCTCCTTTCCACAAATAACTTTCCAAAGGATGCCCTGAGAACTGACCTCCAGAAAGGTCTATTAAAATCTTCATTCCAAACGGGAATAAACTGCAGGAAAGCTTAGGGAATGGAAAGAAACATGGTGGGTAAGACTAAAGTCACAAAAAGAGAGTGTTTTTCTTCTTTTTAGGCTAAAAATAATAAAAAGTACTCTACACTTATATAATAAAAGGCTTTGAGCTGTTAATTATGGCCTAGAAAAGGGAAAAAGGAAGTTGTCATTACAAACATTTCCTTGAAGACCAGTCCTATGTGCAGTTGTGAGCAAAACCACAAATAAATTTTAAGTATCACTACAGCGAGAGAGAGAGAGAGAGAGAGAGAGAGAGCATGCATGGGAAACAAAAAGGTTCCTCTCATTCTTGTGCAAAACCATAAAACCAGCTATATCCAGAACACAGCCGGCAGCTCTGGTCACCCCACCTTAATGGAGACAAAATGAAGATGCAGGCAATCTATAAAACTAGTAATGGAAACAAGAAACAGAAAGACCTGGACACAAAAATAGAGTCCCAGACCACCAAAACCCACCTCTACTTAAAAACATAAACCAAACTAAACAAAACAAACAAAACACACTTCAGTATTAAAAAAAAAAAGAAATAAATAAATAAAAAGAAAAGAAAGCATTATAGATATGCCCCAAATCCTCACTCAACCATGTGACTTCTCAGCCCTAACTTCATTAGAGTCATCATTTATATCCACCAAATTACAGCCTCATTAGCTTGCTAGAGGTTCTTTCAAAACACTTTTATTCCCAGGATACTGCATTAATTTCATCCATTCAACATTCCCATCAAAATCCAGTGGTCGGCCGGGTGCAGTGGCTCATGCCTGTAATCCCAGCACTTTGGGAGGTTGAGGCGGGTGGGTCACCTGAGGTTAGGAGTTTGACACCAGCCTGGCCAACATGGTGAAACACCATCTCTACTAAAAATACAAAAATTAGCCGGCTGTGGTGGTGGGTGCCTGTAATCTCAGCTACTCGGGAGGTTGAGGCAGGAGAATTGCTTGAACCTGGGAGGTGGAGGTTGCAGTGAGCTGAGATTGTGCCACTGTACTCCAGCCTGAGCCAGAGAGAGAGACTTGGTCTCAAACAAACAAAAAAACAAACAAAAACAAAACAAAACAAACAAACCAAAAAAACTCCAGTGGTGATACTGAATTCAGCCTGAAAAACCCAGGCCTGTCCATCTCTAGTGGATTTAGCAAATCAATGGCCACAGAAATATAATTACAAAAGTCACAAATGCTGAAAGTCATGAAAGGAAAACTGCTCTGTTTTTCCCTGACTCTGAGAGCTCTGCAGAACATTGCTTCTTTATCTCATTATCTCATCATTATCATCATTATCAAAAACTACCATTTACTGACCAATTATGACTTGCAAGGCATTGGGCGAAGTACATTGTATACAAATCTCATTTAATCCTCACGGGAAAGCTATGAAATGTGTGTGAATACTTTGGCAGAGTTGGTGACTCTTCGTAAAAAGAGAAAATGTTTGGTCAAACTAATCTACAAACACCACTTATATTACTAAATGAGCACCTGTTAAATAAATCTGGGGGAAATGTACCACATTTCTAATCAACAGGCTGGATTCTTGGTTATTTAATAATTGCCCTTCTTGCTCATTTCTACCCCGAAAGCAGCCATTCAACGACGGAAAGACCATCCATCTGGGAGCAGAAACAAGCCAAATTCCTGATCTTTATAATGGGAGGTTGCAAGAATGCCTACTCGTCTGCTAAAAGTACATGGGTCTCTCTTCAATCACAGCACAAAACACTGGAACCTCAGGAACACATCGGAACGCTCAACCTTGACCTGACTGCTATCCAGAACTTGCCGAAAGTACAGCTGAAGCAGCTATTTGAGAAAGATACGTCACATCTGCAATCTTCTGAGTTATTTATGCTCTCTTTCTTTACAAAGTGAAATCACCACAAAGCAATTTACCTGGACCACAGTAGCTTAGCCACCCACAGAAATACTTTCATAAGTTGAGATACATTATTATATCCTCAGCTCCTATTGAGAATCTATATAAAATATCACCTTTTAAAGAACATTAGCTCAATTTCCACAAAACAGCAATTGAAGGCATTTTCCATTATGATTCTCAACATTTCTTATATAAACAGTCCTCTTAAAATGTACTGCCCCCAAACACTTATGCCTATGGATGAAATTGTATGCTTACTTTATCTGAAAACAATTGCATGCCCCACCCGGTTTCCCTTTGTGCCCTGGTTTCCAGGAAGCTCAGTACTAAATTTAGTGCTCAATTGTAGCCACTCTCACACAATTCAACATACACATATCTCTTTCCACCTTCAAAAGGGAGCTTTTTTCCCTGTTCGTTGCTTTGTTTGCTTTTCCCTCCGATGATCAAATAGTACAATGGTCATTATTAAAAAATATGGAACACATAGAAGGACATAAAGCAGCAAAAGATGTAAAGCAGCAAGAAAAACAATTTCCAATGGTTTCTGATCTCTTTTTAAAAATCTGATTCCATTGCCTAGGCCTATACTTGCTTTAACACTGTAAGGCATACAATTTGGTTTTGGAAGCAGGTAACTCCTGACTATCCCAGCCTCGGAAGAGGTTATGTTGCATGCATGTTTCTGTGTAGCTGAGTGAAGAGTGAAACGAGGCACAGAATACAAAGGCTGAATACACGTGGAATCATAGATGCTGAAACTAGAATCTTTCAGATCATCTGGTCAAATTCCTTCATGTTCCAAATAAGGAGCCACCTCCTCTCCATGCCAGGCTCCTAGCTATCTTCCTTGTGTTCACCTAGTGAGGCGCATCACTCATCGGACTGGTGTAAGCGCCAGGCTTTTCACAGGGTCATATTTCCTAGTGGGTGGAGTGGCCAAGTGTTCACCTCCTTTGCTTTTGTTTTTCCAGAGCTGGCCAGCCAGGCTGAGCCGACTCCAGGTCTCCCTGGCAGGTCCTGCTGGCTCTCTCTCAGCACTCTTGCCTGAGTGCCTAGAGCTCCTGTATCGTGTAGTCAGAAAGGGACAGTAATGTCTCAACATTTAGATTCAAGGGGAAGACTCTGGTTAGTGGGTTACCAGATGCCAGCCCAGCTTTAAAAACAAAGCAGAAGTTTGTTTCCCATGTAACTTCAGGTCTTTGTACATGTACCCTCTGCATCCCCACGGGGAGGAGGGGAGGTTGGCAGGATGGATTCAGACATACTTGGATGCCTGGTGAGAACCCCATTTAACAGCACCCAGAGCCATCTCTAATATCTAAAAGGGTGGTGGGACTCTACCTCGAACTGAACACACAGTTCACTAAAAAGGAAGAGAAGTGTTCAGTAAAAGACTCAAGAGATATGAAAGATACGATGAAACTCACCAGCAGTTAAAAGTATAAGCTTTTAAAAGGATGGATGGTAAAGAATTTCAGGGACAATTAATTTTTTAGTGTTGAAAAATATACGTGAAAAAAATATATAGGTGAATATAGAGTCATAGAGTCAAGTCCAGTAAAGTTGGAAACATAGGCTGATTTTTCAAATATACCACCAAAGTAGGTTGAATTTAAATTATAAATATTAAATGATCCTGACCAGAATCAAAGCATAGCTTCCTAAAAAATACTTCCTTTCTACCGTTTAGTAAAGTTGTAAATCACTGAACCACAGAACTTTGAGGCTGGAAGAATTGCAGCTTTTATCCAATCCAAGCAATGTTTATGAATAATCTTAAAAAGCAATCTTCTAAAAACATGAATCATGAATTATATCCAAATCCAGTCAGCAGGAAACTGTATACAGGGTATGTGGAAGAAGAATTGGCTGCTTTAAACAGGCACTCCAGAAGGGACTCCTGGGTTTAGTTTTTGCTTTGATGACACAAACCCAAACTCCTAGTCTCGCAAGTTACTTCTAAAAACCTCTGACCTGTAAAAATTTTGCAATGGCAATTTTGGAGACAACCTAACCTCTATTTTCCAAGAACATTTCCAACCCTCTCTGTCCTGCTCCCTATGGTACGAGGATGAAAACACAAGCAGCACACACAAACACTGAATAAAACCTCGGAGAAGAAAAAAGATGGTCAGAGTTTCCAATACTCTCTTTGGCCCATGGCATGATGTGCCCTGTGAGGGTATCTGGGCACATGCTAATCCCTATGTCTTATCGGCTGCACCTTGTTCTTGGGCGAGGGGGAACCTAAAGGAAGTAACAGACACAGCCGGTGTCCTCAAGAGGATTACAGTCTCTCTGGGCAGAGAGGCATTAGATGACCTGCTATGATGAGGTGTACAGCACAGAGGACCAGATGGTTGAAGAAAGGCTCAGGAATCCCTGAGCTGAGACTTAAGTGATGAATAGTAATTGGAACAGCAGAGAGAGAGGAGAGCACTCCACAGCTGTAGTTACTAATATCACGCCTTGCAAACTCCTGCATTATATCTGCTTTTTTTTTCAAAATGATGCCTAGAAAAATGTACACTCATGTTTTCTTTACCATCGAAGGAAACATTTTTGCAATAATGAAGAAATAAAAATCTCACTCCTAATCAAATGGTACAATGCTCACCATTTCATGCACCCCAAGGTAAGGTCTCTTGTTTGAGAATAGACACCAATGGCTGGGTGTGGTGGCTCATGCCTGTAATCCCAGCACTTTGGGAGGCCAAGGTGAGTGGATCGCCTGAGGTCAGGAGTTCAAGACCAGCCTGGCCAACATGCTGAAACCCCGTCTCTACTAAAAATACAAAAATTAGCCGGGCATGGTGATGGGCGCCTGTAATCCCAGCTACTCAGGAGACTGAGGCAGGAGAATCGCTTGAACCTGGGAGGCAGAGGTTGCAGTGAGCTGAGATCGCGTCACTGTACTCCAGCCTGGGCGACAAAAAAAGAAAAACTATGTTAAACATGAGGCTCAATACTGAGATAAACTGGGTAGGTTGTACCTACTTCCACTCCAAGTACCTGGCATTAGAGGAATGGCATTTTGGCTTGATGTCTTTTCCCCTTACCCACTATTATGAGTATGTAACTAGCTGGCTATGCACATTGATTTATGTCTACTTTGAGTGACTTCCGAGTGTTAAGCTGGGTATGTGGCACTCACATGAGGAAAGGTCTAAGAGAGGAGAGGAAGCTGCTGTCCTGTAGAAATGCAGCCAGGAGAGATCTGGTCCTGAGGAATTTCTCTTCCTAGAAGGCGTGGTCAGCTCTCCCATCTCCAAAGCAGGAAGAAAGGACGGGCTCCAAGCCGAAGTGGTGGCCTCTTGGCTGTGCACAGTCCATTCTTCTGACAGCCCCATCGCCCTCTCTGTTCCCATCTCCGAGGCTGTTCCACTCTTTGTTTGAAAAGCGGCAATTCTTTCATCGAACTCTGAACTGCTGGATGGCAGGTGAAGACTTTCTGAGGCTGAAAACAGACAAAAACAATTAGAATTCCACCAGCAGACTTCAAAATGTCTTAATATGCTTTTAGGGGGCTCAGTTCTGACATCTACAAAATATACAGACATAAGAAGAAATTAGGAGAATAATTCAGTCTATGAAAAATAAACTCCTGAAAGAGACCACAGACCAAGGTCTGTGTATTAGATCTCACAAAGATTCTGTGTATTGTGGTAAAATTCTCAGAAAAGGAGCTCACTGGAGGTAAGTATCAGACAATATGGAATCAGAGATCAGGGTCTGATCATCAGGACCCAGCATCCACATTCCACCAGATTGGTCCCAGAATGTACCTGAATGCAATATAAACAAAATTCCTAATATCTGGGTGACCAAGAGGACCAGGGAATGTCATGTGCAGAGTTTCTAAGCTCTGTAGGAATCATTTATGAATACAAAAGACTTTCATATGCATCTTTACAGAATCGAGTCCCTCCCAACCAGATCTCCTGCCACTAGGACCTGAAACCATGGAGTCATCTCTGACGGCTTCATCCTTTACTTTCAGGCCATCAACAGGTCCTATCACTTTTCCTTGGTGAAGTCTCCTCTTCATCCCTGTGGCCACTAGGCCACATCGCAGCACCTGGTGTCTGAATTTCTCTGTCTGCCTGGGTGGTCCCTTTGACTCCAGGTTCCCTCCATCCTCCTACCCCCATGCTAGACATCCTGTAACCTGCCTGCCAGGCGAATCCTCCTCAAATTCACTTTAGTTATGTCACTTACTTGCTCAGAAACCTTCACTGACTCTTGTTACCACACCAAATCTAAACTGCCAGGTTTCAAAAGTCCTCCGTGATTGTCCCTAACCCCGTTCACGCAATGGTCCTACCTGTTCCTCCTCTCCTTTGTGGGCAACTGATGCCCTCCCCAAGGGAGCCTGCTGGCCTTACCACCCTACAGAGAGGCCACACCTGTCTTTCTCTCCTCTGCACCTCACTCTCGTTGTCCAGGCATTCCACACCTCAGCACCCCCACCACCTTGCTCAGATACATACACATAAGCTCTAATCCCAGTTCTGAAACCTGTTAACTGTTTGACCTACACATATTGGGACAACTAACTTCTCTGAGCTTCAGTTTCCAAATGCCTAAAAGGAGAATAACATGATCTCATAGGCTTGCTAGAAGGATTGAGAGAACAGACATGGTGGTATGTAGTAGGTCCCTAATTAATGCTAGTTTTCTTAGTCTTCTCTTCCTCCGTGCAATTTTACCCATTGAGCCCCAGCACCTTCTTGACATTCTTTGCTAAAAATAGCAAACCACCAAGCTGTGCACACCAGGGCAAGAACAACCGTTTGGGCCACATCAACACAAACCAAACCCAAGCCTGTCGCAGCTATGCATCCCACAAAACCTACTGCCTCTGAGACCCTCGGGTGTGGCAGGCTCCCTGGAAAAAGAATGAAGGTTGGATTCCACTGGCCATGGATCACAGATACCACAGGACCAGCAAATCTGCACCCTTGTCTGGTCTGTATTGGCAAGCATAATACATATGAGGCCTAAGTCACAGGTCTGACCCACCCCAGCCTAGGAACCTTGGAAGGGCACAATGGCTCAGAATGGGGTTGTGGGGAATGGCAGAAACTTTGTTTTCCAGGACTGGACACACATGCGTGAAATGCGCATCATCAGCACAAGCTCACCTAAGTTGCCACTCTGGGAAGTCAGAGCTGTTGCTATCTCCAGTGAGTACCCAACAGGCAAAATGGTGAAGTTTGTTCTACTTGAAGAGCCGCTCCTTCCTCTAGCATCTGCTGTTTCAGCGAGTAGAGTGAGGTTTTCTGGAGCATCCGAAGCAGCATGGCTCTTCCCAGAGGTCTGAACCATCACGCCCTCTTTGGAGGACACTGTTGAAAAGTCCTCTTGATTCTGATAGAAGGTGATGTTTTCTACATGGGCCTCAGTGTTACTTTCTGGCCAATGTTTCCAGGCAGCATCTGAAAGAAGAAGAGGATGCATCAGGGAGAGTTTGCTGGCTTCTGACAAGAAAAGTAAACCTTCAGAAAAGACACCGTGAAATACATCAGTAGAGAGTGAATTCAAGTAAAAGAATTTTGGCCAGGCATGATGGCTCACACCTATAATCCCAGCACTTTGGGAGGCTGAGGCGGGTGGATCACCTGAGGTCAGGAGTTCGAGACCAGCCTGGCCAACATGGTAAAACCCTGTCTCTATTAAAAATACAAAAAAATTAGCCGGTCGTGATGGCAGGTGCCTGTAATCCCATCTTCTAGGGAGGCTGAGGCAGGAGAATCACTTGAACCCAAGAGGCAGAGGTTGCGGTGAGCCAAGAACGTGCCATTGCACTCCAGCCTGGGCAACAAGAGTGAAACTCCATCTTAAAAAATAATAACTTCACCTTTCTTTTTTTCCCATATTCATTATTCTTATAATCCAGAGGAAGGAATTATGAAGCAACAATATAATACAGGATTAAATTTCATTGTGCATAGAATAAATGATGGAAATTTATTGATAGAAAGAGATCAACATGGGGCTCATGGAAGAGCAACTGAACCTCTGGCACCTGTGCAGGGTCAGAGAGGGGATTAGAGGAGGAAGATTGGGTGTAAGCAAAAGGCAAGAAGCATCTCATATTCGCCAAAGTTGCTAACTGTGCCTCCTGGGGTGGGTGGTAGGAAGCTATTATAAAAGCTGGCAGCCCTTGACCCTGACACCTACTCTTGCAGGTGGGAGCTGTAATGCGCAATTCTGATAAAACATGAAGACTCTGGCAATATTACTGAAACTTGTGTGATGTGAATGGGTTTGAGGCAGCAATTCCAAATTGAATTTATCTGAAGGAGATACTCAAGAATGTGGACAAAGATTTAGCTGCATAGATGTTCATTACAGCATTGTTTACAGTAGAAAGAGGAAGAGAAAGAACAAACCTAAAACTCCTTCAGCAGGTTATCAATTAAATCAGTTACAGTAGACAGTATCCACAAGAAAGAAAACTATGTGGTCACTGAATTGGTGCTATAAAATAAAGATATTCTTCAGGGATTGTTGAATTAAAACAGCATGCTTCAAATAGACTTTATATGTAATGATCTCATTTTGTGAAAAATAATAATAACAGTAAATATGCATGGAGGTAGGTAGCAGACGTAGGTGCCTGATGTGTATTCATTCAAGCATTGCACAAAGATGAAGACAGGTCCTCTTATACTTCCCATTTTACATAGGAAGCAAAGGAGGCATGGAGGGTGGGGGAGGTCATGCATCTTGCCCAAGTCGCACAGTCAAAAAGCAGGAGGGCCAGGCAGCCTGCTCCAAACCCAGGCCCCTCACTCGCCAGCTGTGCTCAGCTGGAAGGGAAAATGGTGGAGAGGAGAATGGTTTCCAGTTGGGAGTGCTGAGGAAATAATGCTGTTGAGTATGGACTGTTACTTGAACCCCGTATATTAGGAATATATTTATATTAGTCAGAAAATATATTTAAATGATAGTTAACTTCCATAACACCCAAGATGGTGGCAAAGAGGGTATTAGTTAAAAATGTTCTGAGGATGAAGTTAAAGTTGGGGGTTAAATTGGGCAAAAGGAAGTCATGTGTAGCATCAAATGCCGTTTGTCAAGGCAGGAGGTTCAGGGTCAGAGCAGGTGCGTGGGATGCCCAAGTCACGTCCAAGAAAGCTGCCCTGTTACTCTGGAAAAGTCTGCACCCAACCTGGCCACTGCTTAGAAGCCAAAGCTGGGCCACTGCTGAGTGCTGGGTCACTGCTGGGTGCCAGGCCCCTAAAAAATAGTACCAAAACCAAACAGCATTCTGAGAACACTGTCCTTTCCCCATACATCCAAACTAATTTGGAATCCAATATCAAATATGGGTGCCAATTGAGGGACACTGAGCAAGGGTGAGGACAGGGCCACATGAAGTTGTCACTGATTACGTGACTCCCTGATAAAACCATTTAATTTTCCCCACTTGGAAATGTTATTTCTCTTTCTGTTTGGGAATGGGGACTGTGGGCATTGGTGAGAAACCTCTGTGGGGATGAATGGAATCACTTCGATTTATATGAATCAAACAAAAATGGCAAACCATCGGACAAGTAGAGGCTGCAGGTAGAACCTACAGTTTGTATCTAAATACCACACACACACACACACATACATACATACACACACACACACCCACATATACCCCCCACACACACACATACACACACAGGCACACATACACACACATACACATGCACACATACACATATACACACATACACATACACTTAAACACCTACACACACAGGCATGCATACACACACACACACGCACACACACATACACACGGAACAAGTTATCTTTCAGATCAGTGCTGCCTAAGAGATACTGAGTCACAAACACAATCCACATGTGTACACTTTAAATTTTCTAGTAGCTGCATTTTTAAAATTAAAAAATGTGAAATTAATTTCAATATTAATATTTTATTTCACTCAACATATCCAAAAGATTATCACTTCAATATGTAACTGATATAAAAATATTGAGATATTTTATATTCTTTTTTTGGTGTTAAACATTTAAAATCCAGTGAATGTTTTAGGAGCCACATCTCAAGAGCTCCATAGCCACACGTGGCTGGTGGCTGCGTCAACCACACGTGGCTGGTGGCTGCATCACTTGCCAGTGCAGTTCTAGATCAATGGTTCTGAACATTTCTCCACTCTGATTCACTCCTTCTAGAAGCAGTGGCTCACTTATTTGGGGTTAGGGGGTGAAGATTATAAAAAACTTCCAGAAGACATTCTGACAGGCTTTCCTGAGGGAATCACTTCCTCCCCAAATCCCTTGAGATAACTGTTTTTATGCCTCCTGTTCTGTTTCCTGTGGGTGATAATTAACAGAGGCTTCCTGGAGGGGGAGGGAAGTTGCCATGCCTCTGGGCTCCTCTGGGGCCCAGTTCCAGACAGGCAAGACCCACATGCAGCTAGAAATGGGATGTGGAAGGGCGTTTCCAGGGGCAGCCACAAGGCCTGTAAGTTCAGCTTGAGAGACTGGGGTTACAGACAACAGTGGCCCACAGGGCATGTCCCTTTGTTCTACCTCTGGGAGCTGCGAAGGCAAGCTGGTCTCCTGGGAGGAGGTGAAAGGTCTGAGGATGCTTTCTGTCTCCTCTTGGCTAACTGTGCACAATGAGACATTATTCTCCAAGGAAGACAGAGAGAAGTGATTGTAGGGAAGCAGAAGGCACTCAAAACCCATGCCCCAAAGCTGGCCAGCTCTGAGCAAAGGGAAGGCAATGAACTTGGCTCCATTACAACCTTCAGACAAGGTGAGACTCAGCCATTGGTGAGTGTGGCGGGGCCTTTGAGGAAGCAGCTTTGTTCCCTTCCTCTCCAAGGACCAGGATTGGAAGTCCCAGAGCCCATTCAGCTCAGGGAACTCCAGTGCAGTCTCCGAGGGGAAAAGAATGGCCACATGCAGACAGGGCAGGACCCACACTGACCTGCGCTCTCTTCCTAGAGGGGTGACTAAAGATGTAAGAAAGAAAAAATGCACACCATAAACAAAACTGAAAGGTAGACAACAGTCCTGCAGTATCCTCCATAACCCTGCCACTATAAACAACTCAAAATGCTGAATAAAATATTTTTTTAAAAAAATTTCTAAAAGCACTGCTGAGCTGGCAAGTAAGTAAAGAATCAAATCTGAGGCCAAAAATGAACCATGACTAGGAATCCAGAGAAGTGAGCTAATGTTGAGGCTGGCAGCTGCCCTGGAGGCACCTGTTCAACATTTGTGACCTTGAATTTCTGTTCTGATGGCTGCCAAGAATCAGGAGATGGGAGCCACGATTCTCAAGGAGGGAATCCAACGGGAAACCACTGTGTAAAGCTGGGACTTTACACAGCTATGCCTTGGGTGTAAGGCAAATAGAAACAAACCGGCCCCGCAGAAGGGCACAGCAAGGAAACCTGGCCCTTCAATCTTGGTTTCAAGTGAAAGAAAAAATAAATCTCACCCGAGTATATATAATCACAAAGCTAGCCCTCGTATGGGTGTGCTGTATGTCACATTACCTCTGTGGTCTAAACTGAGGATGTATTTACGAGTGGTCCTGAATCCTGGGAATGTACTAAAACCCACCGAATTGTATACTTTCAAAGGGTAAACTTTATGGCATGTAAATCAGGGACCTCCAAACCCAGGACATGGACTGGTAGCGGTCCGCGGGCTATTAGGAACCAGGCTGCACAGGAGGAGGTGAGCAGTGGGCGAGCGAGCATTACCGCCTCAGCTCCGCCTCCTGACAGATCAGCAGTGGCATCAGATTCTCAAAGGAGCAAGAACATTATTGTGAACTGCGCATGTGCGAAAGATCTAGGTTGCATGCTCCGTATGAGAATCTAATGCCTGATATGATCTGAGGTGGAAGAGTTTCATCCCAACCCCCGGCCCACCCCACCCCGCCCTATCCGTGGAAAAATTGTCTTCCATGAAACCAGTCCCTGGTGCCAAAAAGGTTGGGGACCACTGATGTAAATTATATCTCCAATACACACACATCCTGTTAATAATGGGGCAGGGGCGGTCCTGATGGATAGTGCCTCCAGGTACCTGTATTGTGTAGACACAAATACAAATGCTCTCTAGATAAACATATCTTCAAACCAGTTTTTATCATTTATTGAGAAAACGAGGCATCCATGAGGAAACAAGACATCCACACCTCTTTGTCTGGTAATTCTAGTAGTTGAAGTCTTTGCTTGTTAAACAATTGCCAACAAATTAGAGAAGCAAAGACTTCAAATGCTAGAATTACCAGACAAAGAAGTATACAAAATTACATTAGAAAAAATTTTTTTAAAAAGAGACTATAAATAATAACCCAAAATATTTGAAAGAAAGCTAGATGGAAATTCTAGAAATAAAAAAAGTAATAATTGAAATTTTAAAAACTCAACAACAGATTAGATATGGCCAAAGTGAGAATTAGAAAATAATTATAATTCACTAGGCATGGTGGCTCATGCCTGTAATTCTAGCACTTTGGGAGACCAAGGCAGGAGGATCACTTGAGCCCACGAGTTCAAGACCAGCCTGGGCAACATAGTGAGACCTTGTCTCTACAAAAAAATAAACAAAATTAGCTGGGTGTGGTGGTGCATACCGGTGGTCCCAGCTACTTGGAAGGCTGAGGTGGAAGGATTGCTTGAGCCCGAGACATGGAGGTTGCAGTGAGCTGTGATTGTGCCACTGCACTCCAGCTTGGACAACAGAGTGAGACCATCTCAAAAGAAAAAAAAATGAATTAGAAAATAAATGATAACAGAATGCCCAAAATGAGATTAAAAAACAGAAAATATGAAAAAGAGGTTAAGAGACAAAAAGAGTGAGAAAGTCCAACACACAACTGATTGGAGTTTAGGAGGAGAAAACAGAGAAAGTAGAAGTGAAAACATTGATTTAATTTTTATTTTTTTATTTGAGACAGAGTCTCACTCTGTCACCCAGGCTGGAGTACATCTCAGCTCACTGCAGCCTCCACATCCTGGGTTCAAGCAATTCTCATGCCTCAGCCTCCTGAGTAGCTGAGATTACAGGTGTGCCATCACACCTGGTTAATTTTTTTTGTATTTTTAGTAGAGATGGGGTTTCACCCTGTTGCCCAGGCTGGTCTCAAACTCCTGACCTCAGGTGATCTGCCCACCTCAGCCTCACAAAGTGTGGGGCTTACAGAAGTGGTAATATTTTAAAAGGTAATGGCTGGAAAATTTCCCAAACTAATGAGAACTATAAATCTTCATTCTAAGGAGGCTCCTTAGAGTAAATTAAAAACGAAACATGTACCTCTATCATAGTGAAACTGCACAAAAACCACAGACTAAGAGTAGGTCTTAAAAGCAACCAGAGGGGAAAAAAATGGCAAATCATCTATACAAGGTGACAATTACAGCTGATTTCTCAACAGTGACAATGGAAGCCAAAAGACAGTGGATAAATATTTTCAACGTGCTGAGAGAGAAAACTATAATCGTATATTCGGCAAAGCTATCTTTGAGAAACATCTTCAGACTATCAAATAAAAACACGTTCAGTCAAAATTGAGTTTTTCAACCATTTCTACTACAGTAAATTATAACAAATTTCTTTCAAGCAGAAGAAAAACAATTCTTAATGAAAGATATCAGATGCAAGGCAATATAATGAGCAAAAAAAATACATGTGTGAATAAATCTAAAGGAACACTGAATTTATGAAATAATAACAATAATTTCTCATTTGTGAAATTAATAAAACAAGTCAGAACAAATCCTAGATAACAATAGTTCGTAAGTCTGGCATGGGATAATTAGAATCATGTTGCATAGCAGAAGCGTAACTTTGAGTTCTGTGAAAAATGCATTTAAAATACCTCTCTAAAGAACAGAAATAGAGGCCTGGCATGGTGGCTCATGTCTGTAATCTCAGCACTTTGGGAGGCTGAGGTGGGAGGATTACTTGAGGCCAGCCTGGGCCTCAAGTAGAGATTCTGTCTCTACAAAATAAAAAAAAATTAACCAGGCATGGTGGCACATGCCTGTAGTTGCAGCTACTTGGGAGGCTAGGGTGGGAGGACTGTTTGAGCCTAGGAGGTCAAGGCTGCAGTGAGCTATGATGGTGCCACTGCACTCTAGCCTGGATGACAAAGCAAGACCCTGTCTCAAAAAAAAAAAAAAAAAGAAAAGAAATGGAGTGTGTCACTTCCAAACTGGCAGAGCTTGGAATGATACAAAATTGTCATAGAGAGAAATCAGTGAATACTGTCTAAAACCAAAATTAAAAAAAAAATCAATAAATAGCAACATAAGCAGGTTAGAGATATGGAAAAAATTACTAAGATAATCAGTTAAAAAAGGGTTGAGAATGGTTAATTCTGGGGAACAGAAAATGATGATAATAGGAGTGGTCAGAGTTTTTATTACAGTCTTATACAATCTATTTGATTTTCAAACTATGTATAAGTCTGATAAAAATAAAAGCTATATTTGCAAAAAGTTGAATGACAAACAAGGGTAAATGTCTGCAGTGCCTGATAAAAATGTTTAGCATCCTTAACACATAAAGAACTTTTTCAAATCCCTAAGATGTACCCCTTGTAGACAAAGAACATGAATGTGCAATTCACAAAAGGAAATATATAAGTGGAGAATAAATACATGAAAGCATTGTTGAAAAGCATGGAAATACAAACCCAAACTAGAAAAGACCTTTTACATTACTTTTGTATTTTTGTGTATCAAATTGGCAAAGACTTAAGAATAATATCTAATGTCATCACAGGTACTTTCATACGATATTGGTAAAAATACAATTAACACAGTCCTTTTGGTGAGGAATTTGGCAATCCATTGCAAAAGCATTAAAAATAGGCATATATTTTGGCCCAAGAATTCCATTTCTGGAAATCAGTTCTAAGGAAATTATTAGGAAGGGTGCAAAGTTTCGGGTATAAGGAAGTTTATCACAGAATTGTTTATAATAATGAAAAGTGGAAACAACCTAAATTTCTACAATAGGGAGGTGGTTAACTTAATTATGAGATAACATTTTAAAGGATTGACCAAAATACATTGTTGATACAGTTTTTCTTATGTATTATGCTCACACTATACTGTCAAATGCAAACATAAATTATAAAATAGTATGTATCATATGATTCCATGTTATTAAAAATATATCTATGACAAATTGTCTCCTAAGAAAAAGAACAAAAATGGTTGGTATCTTGATAAAAGGATCCCAGGTCTACGGACCTGGAGAAGCCACTTAGGAATGGGCTTTCTGGGGTCCCCAGATGGCCTCCTAAGGTAGGTGAAGTCTGTAGACCTTTAATAGAAAGTTGGCTCATGCAACTTGCTACTAACAAAGTGTGTAGGTAGGAGTTCCAGTGACATTTCTGAAACATAATGTAAGCATGTGAGTGGCTTTTGATGGCATAGCTGAAAGACTGATGAGTTTCCTTGTGCCTCAGCTGCTCTGCCCCTGGATGCCTAACTACACTCAGTAACAGTCATGGCCATAACTGGTAGCCCATGACCACCTCTGCAGAGCAGCTAGACACCAAATACACCCTTGGTTAGTGCAGCCACTGCTGGGCCCTGCTGGCCCCAAAGAGCTGCCTTCTGTGGTTACACCTCCACTTCTCCTTAGTCAGTGGGTACCAAAGTCGCCTGCACTGGTGAGAAACTACTGCTTTCCGTGTCTCTAGAAATTCAATTCTTAATAAGAGAGGCAGTGGGGGAATACACAGACTGTGGTTCAAGTCAGACCATGTAGGTTAGACTTCTGGCTCCACCTCTTTCATACCCTATGATCTTAAGTGAGATCCTTAATTGCTTCATGCCCCAGCTTGCCTTCTGTAAAATGAGGATATTAACAGCATCTCCCTCACTGGGTTGTTGTGAAAACCAATGGAATGTAGACATGTAAGAGCTTAGAAAGAGTGCCTGGTACACAGTGAATGCTACATATGTCATAGCTATTAAATGGATTTAGGGTTGTCAACTTTTAAGAAATAGATTTGGGTGGATGACCTTGGCAGGCACTGCTAATCAATCAAAGCTCAGTGTCCTAACCCTTCTTCAGGTAGTGGACCACAGCCCATACCAGAGTGGCCCCAGGCTCCCAAGCCCTCTTGGAAGCTAGGAATCCACTCTGACAAAAGCACTGAGGCTAGACAAATGGCTGCAGGAACAGTTTGGGCCTCGCTGAATTCCACTCCACGACACCTCTCCTAGGAGGTATAGGGAGAGCTTAGGACGCACAGCGTGAGACCTGGGACCACCTCCAGCACAGCAAGCTCTTGAAGTCACTGGCCTGGTACCCCAAAAGAACAATATCCCACTGTCCCCTATTGAACTCCGGGTACCCCTCTATCTCTCTTATTGCCTACTAACTCTTCCTTGGAAAGGGATTAATAAACCACATAGCTGGAGCAGGCAACACCCCCAGCCCACCCCTACTGCCACTGGAGGTCTTGTTTGACTGTGAACATCCAAGCGCTTTACACCATTCCAGGTGGCATCGCAGTGGGGACAATGGGTCAAATGCTAAAATATGTACTGAAGTCCAATGACTGATCCTTTCTGAAGCCCTGAGTTCATCAGGGCCACTGTGGATGAATTCTGTTTAGGGCATGGCTCCCTATTCAGCACCTGTGTACACCCTGAGTAGGAGAGTAATTTGGAATAAACCTGCCACATGGAGGGCGAGGTGTCAAAGAACCTGCTCTTATTCTTGGTGGAGAAGAGAAACGGCCCTGGAGAAATGGAAAGGAGACGGGATTCCTCAAGCTTCAGAGCCTGGGCCCAATGAAGTCAGGAGTAAGGAGAAGAGGCTGTGCCCCCTCAGACATTCATGGGGTGGGAGGGGGCACCCTGGAGGCTTAGTAGGCTGGTGCTGTGCACCTCACCCAGGCCAGCTTCGCAGATGGTCAGAGACAATCATTCAAACCCCATTCACACCAACCCTCCTCATATTGGAGATTAGACATCCCATTTCTCAGGTATCTTTTGAGCTGAAAATACCATCCTTCCCTCTGTACTTAGCCCCCTGTGCTGGGCCATAACTTTCCCTTGTACCATGAATGGAGATTAAATTAACAAGAGCGTTTTATTGCTTGCTTTGCCTGTTTTTTTTTTCCTCCTAATTGACAACTTCCACTTCTGTAGCGTCTTAATGTTCCAAAACATCTGTTTGTGAACCAGCATCATCAGGGATGCTAGCACAGCCCAAGAATAGGATTTCCTAATTAGCAGCTGCTACAGAGTCAACTCCTTGCCACCCCCCACTCCCTGCCAGTGATTTGGGGCTTTTCAGTTTGCATTGTTTCTGAGCAGTGGAGTGAGTAGGAGCATACAGGGAGTGTGCTGTCTTATCCAAAGAGGTAATTTCCTCCTGGAGGGTCCACCCCACCCCCACACCTCAGCCTCAACCCCCGCAGCGGGCCAAATGACAAGCGCTGCCAGCTACAAGCTTCTGGGGCACACAATTGAAGAACAAGCCCTTTATTTTCTTTTCCCTCCATTTGGATTCAGATTTCACTAACATCTATTTAGGGCTTACCACGTGCTAAACATTTTCACATGCATTATCTCATTAATACCCTGTCAAGCGGGTATTATTATCCTCATATAGCACATGGGGAAACTGAGGGTCAGAAAGATTAAGTGATTGTTCCAGGTCACGCACTCACTAGCAGTACAGACACAGTCTGAACCTAGGGCTCATTCCATCACACTCCAGCTTATTCCATGAGGCTTTAAGGCACTGGCCAAAAGAACAGAGCCAAAAAAAAAAAAAACAACAAAAAAAAACAAGTCCCCCACAAAAAGCCAAACTGCAGCTTGAAACACAACTGTGCTGACCTTGTTTCTCTCTAAGAGGAATGAAATGGTGCCTATCACACGGGCTTTGGAATCAGACAGACTTGATTTGACAACAGCTGCACATTATTAGCTGGAAGACTGAGCAAGAGGACTTCTAGATCAGCTTCTAACTCAGAGAGGATTTTTACGCATAACGAAAAGAATAAGAGAGAAAGAGTGGAGCCATAACGGAGAATGAGCTTGAGGAACAAGAAAAGTCTGTTTTTGATATGTGACGTTTGGGGTGATGTTACAACTTCCAAGGGAAAATGTCTGGCAGACAGTTAAAGATTTGGGACCGTTGATTAGGAGAAAGGACAGGATATGACATACGAAGGGAAAAATCAAGGATCAAGGACTGATTCCCGGGAAAACTTGAATGTAGAGACAGGAGAAGAGCCAGTGACAGAGACGCAGATGACAAGGGAAGGATAGGACAAAATTAAAGGTAGGAGCCAGTGAAGAGGAAGGCAGTGAGACCAGCCCTACAGAAAGTCCCTAGGTCTTTCTAGGGTGTCGCCTGGTAGAAGAAAGATGAAGGTCATATTGCTCAAAAGGGAGCGGTTCCAGAACAGTAAGACACTGATGCTCAGCTGTGGAATTGCCCGTTCCTGCCTCCCCGGTAGAGCATTCCTGGGATCCTCAATTTGGGGACTGGTGGACCACAATCAAATGAAAATATAACATTGTCTTAGATACCAGCAATGGATCCTTATACCTATGAGAGTGGGTTTCTTTGTCATTTTAAAACATTTTCCTAAAATTTAATTGTTCACACAGGGAGGGGAGAAAACAGGCTTTTTTTTTTTTAAAGGACTTTTAGCACCCTCCTTTAAAATTCCCCTTTGAGTATGATGGATGGCCACAGACTGAAGAGGGGCAGACTACTGTTCACAGGTCCTTTCCAGGAGAATGAATCTGTGCTTCTCTTCCCACAGATCAAATTAAGAAAAAAATTCCCATGCATTTTACAATCGACAAAGCACTTTTCACAGGATAATTTCATGGCCTAAATTATCCCTTTAGATTCTGACCCTCTGAGTGGCAGGCAGGAGGGTAATTCTTGCCCTATTTTACAGAAGTGGAGACTGAGGCTCAGTACATAAGTCACCTGCCCAGGTTAACCCAGAAAATAGGTGGCAGAGCAGAGACTAGAGCCCAGCTCCTTCATTCCAGTGTCTTTCCTAACTGACCACTTTCAAATGAAAACCAGTGAAGATTGAGCAGAGAGAAGCTCTTGCTAAACTGATTTCCGGCGTGTGGCAAGCTCTACTGACTAGCATCCATACTGCTTTACATCCTTCATTCTGGCCAAAGTTACCTGGATTGTCTCTGGTGCCCCCATCCCTCTCCAAAGGTGACCACTACCCTTAGGGACCATAGCAACCAAATAACCTGACCTTCACAGGACTGAGGTCCAAGAGGTATAGTAACAGTTTCAAATCTGCAATACACCAATGAGTAGCATTTATAAATTCAAAAAATATTTACTTTCATACCCATTAGGAAGGCTATTATCAAAAAGGAAGAATGGAAAAGAAATGCTGGCGAGGATATGGAGAACTCAGAACACTCCCGCAGTGCTGGTGGGAATGTAAGATGGTGCAGCCACTGTGGAAAACAGTATGGCGGTTCCTCAAAACCTTAAGAGTTATGAGTTGATCCAGCAATCCCACTTCTGGGTCTATATGCAAAAGAATTGAAAGCAGGAACTCAAACAGACACTTATGCACCCATTTTCATAGCAGGATTATTCACAACAGCTAAAAGATGAAAGCAACCCAGCTGTCTATCAGTAGATGAAAGGATAAACAAAATGTGGTATATACGTACAATGGGATATTATTCAGCCTTCAAAATGAGGGAAATTCTAACACATGCTACAACATGGGTAAACCCTAAAAACATGATGGTAAGTGAAATAAGCCAGCCACAAAAGGACAAATATTACATGATTCCACTTTCATGAGGTATCAAGAATAGGCAAAATCACAGAGACAGAAAGCGGAATAAAGGTTTATCAGGGGCTGGAAGCAGGGAGGAACAAGAAGTTATTATTTAATGAGTTTCTATTTGGGATGATGAAAAATTTCAGTAAACAGATGGTGACGATGATTGCAACAACATTGTGATTGTACTCAATGCCACTGAACTGTATACTTAAAAATGGTTAAAATGGTAAATTTTATGTTGTGCATATTTTACTACAATAAGAAATGTATGTATTTACTAGGCCAAACGCAGTGGCTCATGCCTGTAATCCCAGCAATTTGGGAGGCCGAGGCGGGTGGATCACTTGAGGTTAGGAGTTCGAGACCAGCCTGGCCAACATGGCAAAACCCTGTCTGTATTAAAACTACAAAAATTAGCCAGGCATGGTGGCACATGTCTGTAATCTCAGCTACTCAGGAGGCTGAGGTACAAGAATCACTTGAACCTGGGAGGCGGAGGTTTCAGTGAGCCGAGATCATGCCACTGCACTCCAGCCTGGGTGACAGAGCAAGACTCTTGTCTCAAAAAAAATAAAAAAATAAAAAAGTATGTATTTACTGAGCACCAACCATAAGCAAGACACTGTGAGGGTTACACGGATGAATCAGGTATAGAATCTACCTCAAGGAGTTCCAGGAGAGCTGGACCATGTTAATAAGTCCCTATGATGCTTCTGGGGTGTGAGAACGGGCCCCCCAGGGGTAGACACTGAGACTGTGCCTGGGAGTTTGGAAGGGGCAAGGTTAGGATTAGAAACTCATCCTCCCTTCCACGGCTGCCAGTCCCAGTCCCCTTCAGACAGCAGGGGCCCTTCCCCTGCAGGCCCTCTTTGCCTCATACCTTCCACCAAGGGTCCTCCGGATGAGGGGGATTTCAGGCCGGTGGCCAGCAGCGGGATATTCTGGGACATGCAAGAACCTTGGGGGCCTGTGGGAAGGTGGCTGCAGCCTCCCCAGAAAAGCAGCCGCCCACTCAGCGAGGCCACTCTGGGCTGTGTTTTGAAATGCTGCTGCGGATGTAATGATTTTGGGTGGAGGACGTTTAGAAGCCAAATGAGTTTGTGTGAACAAAAGACTCAGCCCTCGATCTGGACTGTCCAGGGCTCTCAGGGAGTTTCGTTTCCTTCCTTGTTCTTGCTCTGAAAGAAGCAGCCCTAAGAAAAATCAAGCATGTTGGAAAGTGCTAGACATGAGATTTGACGATCAGATTTTTAAAACGCTTCCCCTGCAAGCGCTCTAGCGATGAAGAAAGTAAAATCTACCTCCCCTCCCTGTGAGGGGTCGGCTCTTGTTCAGCTGAGCATTCTCTCCGGGTGACAGACGTCTGCTGGACTGAACCCAGACCCAGGGGAGGCCTGGCCTGGAGCTCCCAAGTCAGGGTCAGCCTTCCAGAAATAGAACTGGCTCTGAGGTGGCCTCGGGCATGAAGGAGGGATACAGCCTATCCCAGCAGGAGTGAAAGATGAAGGACCTTGGAGTGACCTCAAGCTCTTTGCTTTAAAAGGAATTCTATAGGTTTTTTTTTTTCCAAGGCCTTGAGGAAAAGTCCTAGGGTCAAAGGTCAGAAGATTCCCAGTTGGTTAAATAAGTGAACAAAAAGGCTTTCTGCAGGGAGGAAAGGGGGTCTACCTTGTTTCTAGGGGCACCTTCCTTGCTGCCTCCATTTTCTTTGCCCCTCTCATCCTTTGACAAATAAACATCCAACACAGTGGCTGAAGAGGAGGCTCTTTGGTAAAGGGGGAGTTTCTAGAAAGAAGTTGAAGCTGGTAGCTCCCAGTCCCCTCTGGACGCGAAGGCCAAGGGTGCCAGCGGGGTGGTGCGGGCCTTCCGGGTCTCCTGTGTTGTCACCGTCACATTTGATCACACCCAGAGAGGAAGCTGGGTGGCAGGGCTCCACCAAAGGAGACCTGCCAGGTTAGCGAAACAATAAAAAGGCGAGGAAAAACATCCTGGTTCCGAGGAGGAAGAGGGGGGAGAGGCGGGTGCAGGAGGGGCGGGAGGAAACGGGCCTGCTCCCAGGGGTGTGCACACTGGGCAGCCCGGCCTGGGCCCGGGCCCCGGTGTCCACACAGCTGGCGGCTGACTTTCAGAAGCTCTGCAGTTAATTTACTCGACAGACCTCTGTGAAGTGGCCCAGGACTCTGAGGAAATCATAGAAACATCATTTGTCTGGAGCGTTGACGACTGCTAGAAAATGGAGCCGTGGAGTGATGTTTCAGCACCAAGGGCTCTGAGGCCTGTGCTGGCTGATGGGAGGGAGCTCCAGGGCCTCCGAGGGGAGAAGCTAAAATCTAGTTAAGGGAGAAATGTAAAGTCTGCTAATGCGTTTTGTAAATCAAGATTAGGAAACCTGACATTCTATTCAAATATAACCAGTATTTCAAAAAATCAGTTGTATGCCATAGCCATTTAAGAAAGATAAAACAGAGAAAGAGGAAGCAAGGACGGGGGCTGAAAAGAGAAATAAGACAAAAAGAAATAAAGTTAAGGAATTTTTTCAAAAGACATACCAGAGCAGGACAATAGTAATGATTATTATTGTTATATTGCAGCCAAAACGTAGGTAGCATCCACTCCATGCCAGCCACTGTGCTAAGCATTTCACATAGACTGTCTCAATCCATCCTCACGACAGCCTTATGAGGTCCTCCCGTTATTATCCCTACTTTTCTGATAAGGAAACTGAGGTGTAGTGAGATTAAGTAATTTGTCCAAGGTTACACAGCAAATAGTAAAACTGGATCCAAACCCAGGTCCGTCTGACTGCAATGAAAATCCAGTTTAAAAAAAATACAGAAATAGAGAAAGAATGAAATAAGAAAGGGCAAAACTAAGACTGAGCGCTCCAGAGAAAGGGTAACATGTACTGAAAGCAAAAGCCAGAAAGGACAGAGCTAGGCTTCCTCCTTGTGGGCTTCGGGGATGTCTCACTAAGGACACTGGGATCCAAACTGCAATTTCCTGACACAAACAGGGATATGACATCTTGATGTCCTATGTAACTCACTGTCCAAATGGAATTCAGCGCTCTGATACGATTTAGAAGAAAGGGAGGAAGCAAGGATGGGAGGAAGGGAGAGAGAGGAGTCCATGCTGATTTCATGTAAGTAAGAAAAGGTGGCAAGAGACGAAGATGATGGTTTGAGTGCATTATTGGGAGATTAGTGGGACCATTAGCAAGCAAAGGGAGGTCAGGTCTTAGAGGAGGAAGAGATGATGTGTTTGCATTTATAACTGTTACCTGTTGGTTTAAAGTGAAGCTCACTAAACCTGTGCGAATGCTGGCAGATGGCTGAAGGCACAGAACTGGACTGTAGTTGGAAGCACCCACTCGGAGAAAACAGGGAACTGCCTTTGTCCCACAGTTCTCTCTACCTAGACTGTCCTACTTCCTTCCCCTCGGCCTCCTGGCAAAATCAGCTCAGAGATCACCCCTTCCAAGAAGTATTCCCCAGAGACAACTCTCTCCCTCTGGACTATTTTATCTTGTTACACAATTCTAGCTTATTCTCTCGCAATCCTAGGTCTCTTATGAGAGACTGTGGCTCATAGCAGGTGCTCCATAAATGTTCACTGAACCGAGGGGGAGGCAGAAGGTCAAGGGTAGAGCTGTGAAGGACATCCCACCTGGTGGGAGGCAGAAGAGATGGGAAAGCGTTAGCCATGGCAATCACAGACAGATGACAGGACAGAGACGAACAACTGAAAAGGCTATTGAGATTTCTCAGCAATGTTCTCCCTTTCTCCAACTCCTCTCCAATTTTCCACTCATCCTTCCATGTCTACCTCTTCCTGATGCCTGACTCTCTTAGAGACATAACGCCTGATGTGTTCCCGGGAAGCATTCATGACCAACACGTACACAGCACATGCATGTTTACAAAGCGCGTCCATGTGGATCAGCTCCATTCATCCTTCCAACAACACTGAAGTCAACAAAACAGTTATCGTCTCCATTTTACATATACGGAAGCAGGTACAGAAGTTAAATGACTTGCCCAAGGTCATGGCCAGTTCACTATATCACAACTAAAACATTGCTCTGTCCAGTTACAAGTGCTTTCACAGTCATAATTATATTTGCTCCTCCTCAAAAACCTTGTTAGGAGCAGGAAAGTCTTTATTATCCTCATTTTTAATATGAGGAAATTAAGGCCTAGGGACATTAGGCAGCTATCCAATGCCACAGAGGCAGAAAGCAGAAGGGGTTAAGCACAGTTCCTCCAACCCCCGCCAGAGCTCCACGGCATCTCTCCCCAACTCTGCTAGCAGCTACAGCCAGTAGCACTCCATTACCATAAAGCATGACTGTACTAGAAATAATTCCTAACAAACCACAAGAATTCCCCTACCCAAGTGAGTATGGTCCTCTTCAAAGAGGTCCCAATAAGACAATACTTATTCCATCAATACTGTTATTGCTCAAACCATTTTCTAAAATTTGCTACTTTTCTTTTTTCATATATATGTATATGTATATATATATATACACATACACACACACACACACACACACACACACACACACACATATATATTTTTTTAATTATACAGATGAGGTCTCACTATGTTGCCTAGGCTGGTCTTGAATGCCTGGCCTCAAGCAATTCTCCTGCCTCAGCTCCCAAAGTGCTGGGTTTACAAGTGTGAGCCACTGTGCCCGACCCAACTGGCTAGTTTTCAATAGAGCCTGCAGAATATTGTTCTCTTGAGTTTCCTGAATAATGATACATTTCCATCCCTTGATAATGATGTTGGATTATTTTGGAAACACAAAACTTCAAAGACGATCTGATGAAAGATGCAGTAGATAGAGATCCGCAACCCCATTTTCAATCCAGGAGGTTTGCTGCAAGAAACACAAGGGAGTTGCTCATGTGGCTCACACACACTCTGAAGGTGGCTCTCAACTCCTTCAAACACTTGTGAAGCACGTATTGATAACCCCCAAAGGTTCTGATTTGAAGAACACTCATTGACCACAGAGGTCCAAGTGTGACTGATTTTCAAAGGCTTCTTATTTTGTGGTCACACCTGGCATACTGCTTTTATTCAATCCTAATAGCTTTCTATGCGTTCATCTGGTCTCCTCAGATGACCATAGGTGAGGGCTGTTGCACTTGGTTTTTCTGACTTCAAATCATGAAAGTTGGCTCTTTCCTCTCCATGTTTAAGGCTAAGAAGCAAGAGAGAGTTCTAGGGATACCAAGGGGTGAGGTTGGCAGGGGTCCAACGAGGGGAAGACCAGTTAACAGAGGTCTTTGGAACATGGACTTGAACCCTAGGCAGGGAGCTTGCCCACTGTCCAGTAAAATGCCTGGAAGGCAAGGTGCGATGGGAGGGTTGCTGTCAACACAATGACCAGTGTAAATGGGCACTGGTTTCAGTAGCATCATCATTGCTAGTATTTCTAGAGCTCTCTTGCCCAGGCATCAAGCCGTCTACTTTACAGGTGTTATCTGCACCTCTCCATTCTGCGCAGGGCTCTTTCTACTAATAGCCCATTTGACAGATGATAAACTGACCGCACAGAGAGGCTAAATAACCTACCACAGTCCTACAGCTGGCAAGTGGCACTGCTAGGGTTTGAATTGAGACTGTCTGACGCTTCCAAGCCGGGACCTCTGTGGTCTGTGACTGCAACACCAGCAGGGCTCTCGTCTACACCCTGGCAAAAGATGATCCCTGAAAAAGTCTCACCACATGGCCATAATAAAGGTCCTAGTGGCCAGGGAGGTTGCAGGAGTGAAACCCGTCCCCAAGTTGAAGCTGTTTCCATCTCCTATCACCCAGAAAAGGAAAATGGAGTGGTTTTCAATTCTAGCCCAACATATGATAATCACTAGTCACAGCCCTGCACTAGGAACCTCCCTCCAGATGACAAGCAGGTGTCTCTCTCCTGCCTCTTGCTACTCCTTCCTCCAATTTGATTCTTCAGTTCCAAGGTGGAACTGCAGGGCCACCTGAAGAGCTTCACCTTGGCCTCTGCCCTCTTCTTGTCACTTTTCTTCCTCCCCTATCTTCATTTCCCAGCCTATCAGAGACATCAAGAAGAAACTTGTCAACTTATCAAATCCATTTCTTTGCCTTCAGCACCTTCTCTGCACAGATAGATGGGGGCTCCTGTTATTCAGGGTCTTCAGTGAGGTCAGATCCTCCCTCAAGTCCCCCGAGACATCCCAGGAATTGGGATTGAAGTCTTGTCTGCCTCCCATGCCATCTGACCTGTAAGCTTTCCTCAAAAACGTTTACATGACATGAAAGCTAGAATGAAGTTCAAGTACCTCAGAGCTAAAATATTAAGCAAAAGGAAACTGTCCATTTTTAATAGCCTCTAGACTTTGCAGATGGTCTTTCCAGCTCCTTAAGAGACCTTGCAACCAGAGCCCCATACCATGTGGTGGTGCAGACCCTGCTGCAGGACCCTCCACGGCACCTAGAGGAAAATCGACCTCCTTACCATGGTCCTCATGGCCCTGGGTGATCCAGACACCCTGGCCTTCCTTCTTGCCAATCCTGAGACAAGGCAAGCTGGGTCCTGCCTTAGATCATCTGCCCTGGCTGCTCCCCCTGCCTGGAAGGCTCTTGCTGCTATAGGCAGGGGGATGCCATGTGCCAAGTCTCCAAGACAGGAATGAGTTTGGCATGTATTAACAACTGTCTGGTGTAAGTGGAGAGCAGAGCAAGAGAAGGTGAGAGAGGTGGCCAGTCAGATCCTGCAGGCCTCATATTCCAATTTAGGGGGTCTGGATTTTATTCTAAGTACAACGCAAAGCTCTTTGAGGGTGTTAAGCCTCCGAGTAAGGTGACCTGAGTTACATTTTAAGAAGATCACTCTGGCTTCTGTGAGTACAGATTAGAGAGAGAGCATAAGTGGATGCAAACAACAGAAAAGAGCAGTGGGGAGGAAGAGAGCAGATTCACCATGTATTCTGGAAACAGGATCACCTGGAGTTGCCAAAAAAGAATCACGGTAGTGGGTGAGGAAAGGAGAGGAATGGAGGGTGACTTCTAGGCTTCTAGCTTAAGGAACTAGGTGCATGTTGTTGCTAACTGCCGACATGGGAAGAGGCAGGAGTTGACACAGGGTTAGGGGATGAGAATCAAGGATTCTGATTCTCTCTGATTTTCCTCTTTTATTTCACCATCAAACTTTGCCACAGACAGGCCTTCCATGCCTATCATACGGTAGGCAGGCTTCTTCCTGCACTTTTAGGAGTCCCACTAAACAGTTCAGAATGGAGGCCAGAGGCCTTTCCCCAGACCTCATTCTCCCCAGTCTCCCTCTGCCTTTTAACTTGGATAGTTTCCAGATGAGAGGACAAATCAAGACAGAAAGCAGAAATATGTTAACTTACATGGACCTTCACAGACCTCCACATATGATGCATAAACCATGCTATATTCAGATTATCTGCCAATCCACAGCCAACCTGCAAGCCACCCCCACCTCTCATTGCGCCCTCATGCCGGGCTGGCATCCCTTCCTCCCCACCATCCATACTGGATGTTCTCCACCTGACTGGAGCTGATTTCCTCTTCCTCCGTGGCTTTAACTACTGCCCCTCAGGGCTGAATCTGGCCCCGGCCTCCCTCTAGTTCAGTTCCACATTCTCAACCATCCACAGAATACTTCCAAGGGGACATGCAGTCTTTACACTGAACGGCTGAAACTGAAGGAGCCCCTTTAAAAGCAAAGAGCTCCTCTCCATTCTGTCCCATCATCCCCGTGGCCAGGCAGTCTACTACTCCAGCCTTACTCTTTTAAGTGGCCCTTGCATCTCTCCCTTTCAATTTCCACTACCTCCACTCTAACCCATGCTCTGTCCTCAGTCTTTCCTCCCAACACATCAATACGATGCCCACCAGCATTCCAGTGTCTCTTAAACAACTACGGGGCTGTAGTGAGGGCAGATATGTATGTGGTTCATCTATGAGGCCCCAGCTCCAAGCAGAAATGAACAAGCTAATTATGCTTTCCCTGTTCAGAAGCCATCAGGGGCTCCTTGGTGTGGATGGGATGAAAACAAACACCTTAACAGGCCTCTAAA
Organism: Homo sapiens; assembly: GCF_000001405.40. NCBI lineage: Eukaryota > Metazoa > Chordata > Mammalia > Primates > Hominidae > Homo > Homo sapiens. The sequence goes on from NC_000003.12 coordinate 125,049,956, forward strand.
GCCCTCCACAATCAGGTCTAATCCTCCTTTCCAGTCTTGTCTTCAATGACTAGTTGATTTGGGAGCCTAACTGGCCTCTTCAAGTCCTTTTCTCCAGCCTTACTGACTGTTGATCACCTCCCTTTTGAAAAGTCTTGGGCTTTTCAATATTTGGGATTTTGTGGATGCCATTCATCCACCAACTCTCTTTTTTTTTTTTTTTTTTTGAGATGAAGTCTCACTTTGTTGCCCAAGCTAGAGTGTAGTGGTGTACTCTCGGCTAACTGCAACCTCCGGCTCCCAGGTTCAAGCGATTCTCATGCCTCAGCCTCCTGAGTAGCTGGGATTACAGGCACATGCCACCATGCCCAGCTAATTTTTGTATTTTGAGTAGAGACAGGGTTTCACCATGTTGGCCAGGCTGGTCTGGAACTCCTGACCTCAAGTGATCCACCCGACTTGGCCTCCCAAAGTGCTGAGATTACAGGCGTGAGCCATCATGCCCAGCCCATCCTCCACCTCCCTGTCTATCCACATCCCAGTCAACTTTCAAAGTTAAATCAACTCCCCCCTTTCCCACTGAAGTCTCCCTGGACTATCCAGCCCCCAGTGGTCTCCACGTCTGCATGCAGCAGCCCATTTCCACCCTCACCATTCCTTTGGTCAGTATGATCTCCTGTGGCATTTCTTCAGTTGTGAATCACTCATGCATCGTTATTTCGCTTTTTACAATCTTGATGTGTGTGCTCCAACAAGACTGAATGTTCCCTGGGGGCATCACAGACAGGCACTGCAACCTCATCACCTCACACGGCTCTTCCACATAGCAAGGCTTCTGTAAATATATCTTGATTTACAAATCAGTCCAATGTGACACAAATAGAGGCATCTGCCACACTCCAACAAAAGAAGAGTGAAAAAACAGGATAGAAATGTCTTTGTTTCTGTCTATGCCTGATGAATGGTGAGTGGGTAGAAGAGAGCATAGATGTTCAAATGAAAGCAATTTGACAGCATCTGCATGGAGTACCATTTAACCTCGCCTCCTACTGGGCAGGTATTCATAACAACTGCCTCACAATGTCAGCCACTGCTCCACGTTCCCAGGAGAGGGCCCATTAAGAAAGTCACCAATTCATTTCAGCTTGGCTTATAATTAATGCAGCAACCTCTGGCATCAATAACCTATGGATTGGCATATGAGTAGGGCATAATTTACAATCTCTATATAAAATGTCATTTTAAAGACTTGTGGTCTTGTCTCAGGTAATTTCAAACAAAATTTTTAAAAAATTTTTACTCAATAGGTGTCCTCATTGCCACTGCCATCTCCTCATATTTTCCCCACGCCAATGCTGGCCCCTAATCTCTACAAAAAAGCAAGAGCAAGGAATGGAGGGAGGGAGGAAGACGAATGATGAGCAGGAGAGGATCTTAGAGATCTAGGACAACTGGTACCCCATTTTACAGATGAGAAAACTGAGACCTCCTGATATTGTGGGACAAGCACATGGATTTGGTCAAAATCTATTAAAATCCTGCCGCCTCCATTTACCGTGTGATCTAACCTCTCCAGGCTACTGTTTCCAGAACTGTAAAAGGCAAATAACATCCCTCACGGGCTTGTTTTGAGGATTAAATGGATAAGGAGTGTGAAGGCGCCGACCACACATACGTGTTCAAAGGCCAGGGAGTCAAAAGTCAGACCCCAAAACTAGTTTCCTTCCTTGTTGCCTCCCCAGGATTCTTGGAAGAGAATATTTACTGCAGCTGAAACCTCCCATTCATACAAAAAGGACGCTGGAGACAGAGGGAAGCCACTGAAGAAGGCAGTAAGTGGCTAACAAAACCACAACTGCCATCTGTTCTTTGCTTTCTTTCTGAGTGTCTCTGGACAAGGACAAGTTAAATTCAGGAACACTGTTTTCAGCCAGCTGGGCGGGGCTGCTGGAAGGCAGGAGGGATCACCAGGAGGGCAGAGGCTCCTTCCCCAGCCTCCAGGACAAGGATGCAGAAACTGCCCAGCTGGGCAGCAAATACCTTTCAGTCTCCCTCAGTCCACACCATTCGGGTCTCTGGCAAAACATAACAGTTCAGCATGTGCACACAGGCTGAGGAAAGCAATAAAAGGGTTCTTGCAAGGTAAAAAGGATGTGGCTTTTAAACACTCATGCACCACGGAGAGTCCCTTGCCCCCTCCCGCCTCCCCCCCTTCTATTTGGGACACCCTCCATCAAAGCAAACAGGCTTCTCAGGAATCCCCACTACCACCACCCCCAAGCCTCCGCCAGGAGTGAGGTAGCCGCCTTCTGGAGGGAAGCCACTCTCCCCTCCCTGAGGGGCTGTCTCTTGCCCGCTGCACCTTGTAATGGTTCTCCCAGCAGCCAAGCTAAATGACGAAGTTGGCCCACAAAGTTAGAGCAATTCAGGCGACAGCTATTTAACAGCTCAGACGGGGCTCAGCTCAAAGCGCTTCCTTTCCTCCAGGGAGCTGCATTTTTCTAAGATTATTGTTTCTCGGGCTGGCTGCTCAGCTACTCAGCGTCATTTCCCCTTTGGGTGGGAAAGTTCTTTCCTTCTGCATTGATTTTCATTATGATTTAAGCCTTCTCTCCCTCTCATCTGCAGATCTCACAATTAAAGCATAGCATATGGATCACAAAATTAAGGCATATAAACTTTGCATTCAGCTTAGAACTGTGGCTCGGAAGTCCTGAGTGGTAGAAAAACACACGCAGAAAAAGAAAACCTCTAGGTCTCAGCATCTTGTCACCACTGGCTGAAACACCAGCAATAAACATCAGCTGAACAGCCAGCAGGGTGACGGGTGGGTGCAAAAGCTTAACAATGGCTATATAAACAGGGAGCTGCTCTCCAGGGACTTACAGTCTAATACAGGCAAACAATCCACATAATGGAATGCAAACGCGGTTACTCAGCAGTGAGAAGTTGAACTCTGCCAGGAAGAGAAGAGCTGGAAATGGCCCACAGGGAAGAAAAGGACATCTGTGGCCCTTGCTGCTGACATCAGTGTATTTGGAAGTCCCAGGGGCCAGGCCCTGACTACCAGCATCCCCATGGCACGAAAGGCCTGCAGGAAGCTTCTCCAACAACCAAATGGAGCACGTTACTTGTAAGACTCAGGGCTTGTTAGTGACAGTAGCATGGTGCCTCCCCAAACACAAAAATGCTGAGGGAGAGCCGGGATGACCATCTGTCAGGGGTGCTGGAGGGGCAGACATTTGCATGGGACACATTGCAGACTGGAGGACCTGTGGAGGCCCTCTCAGCATTGAGACCTTGCTGCCTTGTGAAATGAGTGATAGCATCTAGTGATACAGGAGGACCCATCCAAAAGGCTCCCAATCCTGGTTATCAGAAAACTCAGACTCACTGAAATCACTGAACACTGGTTTTCTTATGTGTTGTTTCTTTTTTACCCCTAAATGATACTGTTTGAGCCACTACCAGAAAAAAAAGCACAGGTCATGCCTAGATCCTTGGCCATATGAGTAGCTTCTAGCAGCTTCAACAGGTGTTCATTTCATCTCTTCTAATCGCACCTTCCTAACATCCCTTCAGAGATTGGGCCTTTGAGCCACTGAAGAGGAGGCACTCCTTGGGTGGTGTCTGTGGGGCACCAGGAGACCAAGAGAACCTACCTAGGTAAGAGAAGGTGTACACTATTCCAACTACTCTCTCGCTGCTTTCTGGGATTCTCACATGTATTCCTTCCAGTACCTCATATACCTGAAGCCTCCATCACTCACCTCTGCAAAGGAATCAAACTGGGAAAGCCACAAAACCAAGACCAGCAGTGTTACCTGCCACACCTGTGAGGGATGTTTGGGTCACATAAGGCCCCAATTCTTACCAGCTGAGTCCTCTAAGCTAGCTGCCTCCACTGTCCCTACCTCTCTGTAATACCTGTAATACCTACCTCTCTCTAGAGATCCCGCCCCTAAGAGAAGGAAAGAGACTCATGTGCCTGCCCCATCCAGCCAGGGCCCCTGCAAGTCAGTGTCCCTCCCACCTATCCCCTAACAAGATGGAGGCCATTCAGCTAAGACAGCCTGACTACTACCCAGAGAAATCTGCCTTCGGCTCTTGGGTGTCTCCTCTGAAATGTTCTCAGTTCTCTGCAGTTCACCTTCTGTTTAGAAAAACTCACAAAATACTACACAGTGTTCCTCAGTTACTTTCCTAGTTGGAGAAAGTCGGGAAATATGTTGTTTTATGTTCTTGATTCCTTCCCGTGGAAGTTAGCAAAACAGCGTATGCTGTAAGTAATCTAAAGTCACAGTCACTCCGGGATGTGTCTCCTACACGTCTTCAGAAGCTTATCTCTCCTCTCCCTTTTCTTACTGTTCCTCGGTTTCTCAATCTTATGCCAGTGATTTAAAAATTCACAAAATAAGGCATTTTGCGATAATGGGAATACTGTTGAATATGAAATTGAGTTTTTACAGGAGAACTTGATTTTTAAAAATCCAAACTTTTTCTTATTTAACTCTAAGAAGCACCTCTAGGTTGGAGGAAGCAAGCTAATTCACGTGCCAGAAAGTCTGCATGAGATGAGAAACTTAAATGAATTGTCAATTATGCAGACAAAAAACTCAACTTTCAGGGAAACTCCAAATCAATGTCCAGTGTTGCAAGCAACCCAGCTTATTTGAATAGCCCGGACAGAGCATATGCCCTGTGTCACTCACAGGAAGGCAAAGGCTAACACCACCACGTTGCTGACTTTGTTCAAAGCACTTTCCATTTATTTTTACTTTCATTTTGTCACATCATCACTAGGAGGCTAGAAGGAACAGGGATCATCACTTTCATTTCACAGATGGAGAAAGTGAGCGCAAAGAGACAGCAGTCCCAAGGTCATAATGGTATTATGGTTAGAATTCCACTCAGTATGTGGCATATTTTTCCAGATCATAAGAAAGAACTGGACACAAAGGTAGCAGGGAGAAGAGGTCAGTTCCTTCTCTCTGCGTGGGACAGGCGGTGGCTACCACGGAGCAACAGTTCATTGGGAAAGGAAAGGGGAGGGAGGAGGCTCAGGGATGGTCCTGTATCAGCCTGTGCCTTGCAGGGGTTCAACCATGCAACCCCAACCGCGTTCCTTTGCTTTTAAGTCGAACCAGTAGAGCGTTTTGTTTCAAACTACGTACATCCTTTGTCCTTTACAATATCCCGTCCTAGAACCCCTTAAAAATCAGTTATTTAGATGAGAAAGTCGAGCCCTGTACCTGGAGAGGCCAGTTCTGTATAGCGGAAAAAATGAAACTGGGGACCGGCTGGCCAGATATCGGAGGTGGGAGAGATGCTTTGCAGTCTTTTTCCCTTTCCTTTCCATTTTTTTTAAAGTGGGGTGGAAGAGATACAGGGTACCCCATAGGAAATAAGTTTTCTTCCAAAGGGTTGGAGGAGAACGGGATAGTCACACCCCTCAGTCCAGCCAACTGCGAAAGCGTCCCTCCCTACCCGCCGACCCTCAGGGTCCCGCACACGCCGGGCGAGGAGCCCCCACCCTGGGTCGCGCCGCGCGGAGGGGCCTACGGCTGGGGATGCAGCCCGGGGCGCGCCCACGCCCCCAGCACAGACTGGCCAGGCGCCAGGTTCCCGGCTCTCACTCACCCGCGCTCCCGCCTCTGGGGGCCCGGCCGGAGGGTCCCCGCTGTGTCGCGGCGCCTGGCTCAGGGGCCCTGTAGCTGGGGCCGGGGGTCGCGGGCCCGCGGCGCTCCCGGGGCGGCGTGGGCGGCGGCTCGCGCTCCGGGCGGCGCTCCAGCTGCAGCTCCAGCCCCGCTCCCGCGAGGGGCGCCAGGCTCAGCGCGCGGCGAGCCGGGGAAGGCGGCGGGTCCCGCGTCCCGGGGGCCGCCGGCGGCAGCAGCAGCAGCGGCAGCAACAGCAGCAGGAGCGGCGGCGGCCACCGCGAGGCGCGCGGCGAGGCCATGGTGACGGCGCCCGCCCGCGCTCACATGCCCGGCGCGCGGGGCGAGGGCAGCGGGCAGCGGGCAGCGGGCGGCGGGGGCCGCGCGGGGCCGGGGAAGTGAGCGGAGTGAGGCTGCGAGCGCGCTCCCCGCCTCAAAAGTTATCGGGAGCCGCGGGAGGGCTGCCGGGGGCCGGGCTGGCTGGGCGGAGGCGGCCCGCGGCGCCGCTACATGCTAATTAGCCCGGGCGGGTCGCTGGCTGGCGGGCGGCTCCTCCTCAGTTGACATCACCGGCCCCGCGCGGCGGGCCCGGAGGCGGGGAGAGGGCAGGAAGGGGGCTGGGGCCGGGCGCCTGGAGAGCGGCCCGGCCCGGGACAGCGGGATGAGGTCAGCGGAGCCACGGTGCTGCAACTTTTGTCACACACATGCTCCAGAGTCTTCTGAATCGGGCACCACCTACCCAACTCCTTAAACGCACAAGAAGTAGGTGAAAAGCAGGTCCTGGGTAATGTGATTAGCACCAGACTAGATTATCCCAAGTGCTTTGATAGGAGAGAGAAAGGGAACGGTCCCCTGGTACCCAGCCCGCGCTGTCACCGCCGTTATTGATTTGAAGTGTCCCCACTCCCACCCCCACCTCCCCTTCTTCAGGCCCCAGGGCTGGTGATGAGCTCGTGTTTGCCAAACCTAACACCTCACCCTCCGGCCAACGCGAGAATCCGAGTATCCCCCACGCCCTCTCAAGCTTGGATGCCGTTCCCATCCGACCACTGCCTTTGGCTCACACCAGAGTTCTGCAGAGATGTCACCGCGAGGACACCCAAACAGGCTGCAGGGAAAAGAAAACTGTGAATTCAGGCAGGCTAGGGCAAACTCATCATCAGGAAAAGAACTGCAGATCGCAAATTAAACCAAATGATGCCCAGAGAACACAGAATTTTAAATGGAAACCTATGGGGAAAGATTCAAAGATTTCATGTAAACAAATTTTCTTGGTCAATAAAGTTCCATTTGTTTCCATAACCTCTCCCTCCCCAGTAAATGAATAATAAACTGTCTAAAGTTTAGGACTGTAAGCCACCTCATTAAGTGAAGAAAGAGGGGCTCAAATGGGAAAATAACTTGCTCAAGATTCTGAAGGTAGACCCGAAGACGAAATGATTGATCTGTGAATGACCATGTGATATTATTAATTCTGGTCTCCTAATTCAGAGTTTGCAATAATTCGCAAACGGAAACAAATAGTATTGCAACAGAAACAAATGTTGCAGCTCCTTGGGGTTCTTGCGAGTTCTGTTGGGGGCCCCTGTCTGACAACCAAATGCTCGTGAAAATATGAGTATGCACCTCACTGTCAGGCCTGGCTCTCCATCCTATTTCTCTGCTCTTCTCTTTTTCTCTGTCTCCAGATCTCCATGACCCACCTCCAGGAGAATGAGATCGTAGTGTCCAGGGCAGCTGCAGATGGGCCTAGGCCCACTTTCTGGTGACTCAGTACAAGTGAGTCATTTGGCAGAAAAACATAAAGGAGGCTGTGTATAAACAAACTCACCTTAAATGAGAGAATGAGGAGTAAAGATTTGGTTTTATTTTGTTTTGTTTTTAAACAAACCAGCTTTCCAGGGCTCTAACACAGAACTTCCAGGTCTCTCCAAGAAAGTACCAAACAGTAATCTCCCTGAAACTGACTTGGTTTGCTCCCATGGCCTGAGCTTAACTTCTCTGGATGCTGCTCTCACATTAACAGGCAGGACTGCACAGCTGCCCAGACCCAGCCAGACAAGCCCCAACAGACTAGGACTGTGCTCAGAGGTTCTGGTCACTGCCACTCCCTCCCCTCCAAGGAGACCATGTCACATAGTACTGGTTGCACTCCCAGGCAAGTGGAAAGGTTTAAGGGTAGAATGGCCCTTACAGGCTTCTCGTGTGGATTCAGGGATCCTATGAGATAATCTGCCTTCTCTACTAAGACCCAAGGAGTAAACATGTACCTGCCACCTCCCCCCAATCCTCCCCCACCCCCCAATCCCACCCCACTTTAAGTACCACAGGTTTATCTCTCTCTAATCTTCTCTCTGCCTTCTAAGAGAAATGACCGAGTTCAGGGTAACTGTCAGCTAGAAAGGGCTTAACAAGCAGATTAGGAGAGGGACACACAGGGAGAACTTGGAAAGATTGATCAAGGTGTAGATGGATTTCAGCTCTTTTTCTTCTCCTCCTAAGGCAGAACAAGAGAAAACAGCAAGACAGCAAGAGAGAACTGGATGCAGTATAGAACCTTGGAAAGAACAGTTGACTTGGTCCTAGAGCCCTTGCTTCTTTTCTGGCCTTTACCACTGTTTAATTGTGTGATTGGGCCATAGTTTCCAATCTCTAAAACAAAGATGGTCCTGGATGATTGCTAAGGAGTGTTCTAGCTCTGATGTTTTAGAGTTCAGTAAAGAACTTCTGGCACAGTAGCAAGGAGGTATGAAATAGGTATCTCCCATCCAAGTACTAACCAGACTCAAGCCTGCTTAGTTTCTGAGATCAGAAAATATCAGGCACTTTTAGGGTGGTACAGCCATAGACTAAAACAGTTATCTAAGAACATTTGTAGTGTTTTCTTCCCAGGGATATGAAAATCCAGACAAGATTCTTGATCATCTCAGATAGCTTGAGAGGTCCTATCTGGAGCCAGGGTCATAAATCAGACGACTTCTCAGACCCATTCCAGCCCTGGGAATCTGTTGATCTAGGATAAAACAGGTGGGAAGACAGCCCAGAACAAATTCCAGGACTGAGTGAGTTAACAGGCATTCCTAACCTCTCCACAGGTAGGAGTGGGGGCACCCCAATGTAATTGACAGTGAAATCAGCAGGGAGCCCAGTGTCTTTGCCACCTGAAACTTGATGTAGTCAGAGCTTTCGCCAGGGGTTTCCTGCCTCTACTTGTGTTAATCAGACTAGGCTAGGCTATAGTAACAAATAGGCCACCCAGATGCAGCAGCTTAGCACCATGTGTTTCATTCTTGTTACCTTAACAGCCTTAGACACCGATGTTCAGCTCAGTAGGCTGTGTGAAGAAGCTGTCCATTGAGCTGAACATCAGTGTCTAAGGCTGTTAAAGGAACAAGAATCCACATTATGCATCCACGTTATGGTGGTTCTGCCATACTCTAGTATGGCTTCCAAAGTTGCTCTGGGAATTGGCATCCCAGTCAGCCAGAGGTGAAAAGAATGTGGTGGTGTGAGCAGAGGAGGTTTTGGTGGGCCCGGTCTGGAAGTGCCTCATCTCCTCTTACATTCCACTGGAGAGAGCATGGTCACATGGCTCACCCAACTGCACAGGGGGCTGGGAAATGTAGTCTAACCATACAGGCAAAGAAGGGGAGAAGGGATTTGGGTAGACCGCTAACCATCTCTGCCCTACCTCTAGATATCAGTAGGGCAGGGAAAGAAAGGGAGAGTAAAAAGATTCATCTTTTGGTCTCAGTTTCCTTCTTTATGAGGGTGTTGAATCAAATGATCTCTCAAGGCCCATCTAATCTAACATTCAGTGGTGTGAAGGGGCCATGAAATGTCCTTCCACACCAAAGTGAACAAACTGTGCAGGTTCCTGCCACAGCAGACCTGCAGCTTGAGGAGGCCTCCTCTGCTGATTGGTCTGACTGGTAGACTTGACAGAGAGGACCTTGGGTTCTCTCTAAGTTCTGTTCCAAAGCGATTCTCATTTCTTGGCCAAGTCAGGTGATCTCTATTGATCTGTCTCCTTAGCTGCCTAGCGGGGAGAAAAATCATTTCCCTCTGCTGCCTCTTGGGGTTGTCCTGAGGATATGATGAGATCACTGACCAGAAGGCACCAGGAACTCTTCTGACTAAAGTGCTCTGCATGATGCCCTTATTGTAGCCAGAGCCTTTTATAACACTGCATTCTAACCTGGCCCCACGGTGTGCCCAGTTCCTGAGGATGGTGCCTGTGCAGGATTTCACGTGGGTTGGCATTGCCATGGCTGGGATGCAGTGCCAGATGCACAGCAGTAATATCCTACGGACACTCAGGACTCTGGTGACTACGGGTCCCTGAGGGCTGACAGATCAGTTAATAGACCCCTGGATTGAGTTTCACCTAGGGACAGGTAGGCTGGGCCCACAGATCACTGTCTCCACTGGGGCATCTGGCCGGCTTCTCTGTTATCTGCTCATCACCCTATTAAACCCTGAGTCTGTTTACTCATCCTCTCATCTGCTTGTCCCCTCCCACTCTCAATCTACAAGGTGCTTTCTGGGATGCTCTGTGCTTTATTCATCTTTATATCCTCAAAATCCAACATAAGACTTTCTTTTATTTAGTCATTCAACAAATATTTACTGAGTGACTACACTGTGCCCAGCACTGTGCTGAGTGCTGGGCAAGTCTGTGACATCGTAGAGCTTAAGGGTTTGGAGGAGACAGACAGTAATTAAGAGTATAAATGTAAACTTGTCATGTGTAAGTGCTCGAAGGAGAGCACTCAGGAGGGTGTGCTGGGTTTCCCTGTGGACATGAAATTGAGCCCTGATCCGAAAGCTGTGTAGGCTGTTAACCAGGCGAAGCAGAGTGGGGAGAGTATATGCAAAGCACCTGAGGCAGGAGGAAGTGGGATGCATGGAAAGGACTGGAAGAGAGCCATTGTGGCTGAGGTAGAGAGTGAGGAAGAGCATGGAAGGAGGTAAGCCTGGAGACTTTGATAGGAACTAAATCAGGGAGACCTAACAGCTCATTTTAAGGATTTTTTATTTATTTTAAGAGTTTAAGGAAGTCATTATAAAGTGTTAAGTAGAGAAGGTAGAGTACAGTGAAGGTGGAGGAGGAGGAGGAGGAGTTAAGGGGCGAGGGGTGACATGATTTGGGATTGGAAATCATCATTCTAACTATAATAAGAGGAATAATTTAGAAAGAAACAAGAACTCATGCCCGGACTCTTGGAGTCCAGGTGGGAAGTGATAATTCTTGGATAAGAGTAATAGAAGTGAATTCAGAGGAGAATATGGATGTGAGAGATTGCAGTAGGTAAAATCCACCAGACATGTTGATGGACATGGAGGATGAGGGAGAGAGAGAGAGTGGCAAGGTTTCTCAGGTTTCTGGTTTGCATGGGTTGGATGGATGGTGGTACCATTCACAAGGAGAGGGAACGGTGGACAAGAACTATTTGAATCTGCAGACTTGGAACTGAAGGGAGAGGTCCAAGTTTAAGGTTTGGAGTACAAGGGGATGGAATTAAGTAGGGAAGAGAGTATCATAGTCAGAGAAGACAGGCTGAAAATGAGTCCTGGGGGACACAACATGAAATGGCTGGGAGAGGAGGCTGAGCCAGAAAAAAGACTGGAAAGGAGCCACTGAGAGATAGGAGAAAACCCAGGAGAAGGTTACATCACCCCAGCAAAGGGAAGGAGATCCTGGCTCACAGTGTGCAATCCTGCCGAAAGGTCAAGTGAGGTGAAGACTGAAAATAGCCATTCGTTTTAGCAACATAGAAGTCACTGGTGATCATAACAAAAGTGACTTCAGAGGAGTGTTCAGAGCAGAATCCACATGGAGAACAGTGGGAGGAGCGAGAGCTGAGGAAGCCGAGCTGGTGGAGATAACTTTTCAAGAGAGTTTGGCTCTGAAGGGGGAGAGTGAGCTGGGACAGTAAGTACAGGGGAATGAGTAGAGGGGAGTTCTTGTTTTTAGGGGGAACATTTGGACGTGAAAATGGTCTGTGTGGGAGGGAGAAAGTCAAAGGTGATGGGATAAGGTTTCTGAGAAGCAGGAGGGGATGGACTCCGTAGCCCAGGTGGACAGACTGGCCTGGGAGGAGGAAAAGAGGAGAGCGTGGGGCACTGCAGGGCCTGGACTTCCCTCTGGGGACTTCAGTTTTCTTGGTAAAGTAGGGGACTTGACTTGTAAGAGAGGCTACTTGCTGTGAGTGGAGGGAATGTAGGGGCGGGCCTGAGGGATTTGAAATTTTGAGAAACACCAATGTATTCTTTTCCTAGAGCTGCTGTAACAAAGTCCCACAAACTGGGTGGCCTAAAACAACAGAAATGTATCCTGTCACTGTTGTGGAGGCTGGAATTCTGAAATCAAGATGTCAGCGGAACCATGCTCCCTCTGAAGGCTCCAGGAGAGAGCTCTTCCTTGCCTCTTCCTAGCTTTGGCGGTGGTTGGCAATGCTTGCTGTTCCTTGGCTTGTAGCCCCTGCCTCAATCATCATGTGGTCTTCTTCCCACTGTGTGTGTCTGTCTTCACATGGTCTTCTTAGAAAGACGCTGTTACTGGATTTAGGACCCCTTATAATCCAGTCTGATCTTATTTTATTCACATCTGCAAAGACGCTATTTTCAAATAAGGTCACATTCACAGATACCAGAAGTTAGGGCTTGAACATATCTTTTGGGGAGACATAATTCTATCCATTATCATTAAGACATTTAGAAATGGTTGTAGAGAGGGAGAGAAATGTCCGAGCATGCCCAGCGCTGTCACGGGCCCATGGGGACTGGTGAAGATAAACCAATAGTGAGAGTATGCTGCGGCATCAGCTGCTCTCCCACTTGCTCCTCTCTGCTGACCGGCATCCTTGGGCAGAGCTGGGGCACCCCAGCCCTCTCCTGCTGCAGGGCAGGTTTCCCTCCCACAAGAACAGAACCTTGTGACCTCTCTTGACTCTTCCTCCCTTCCTGCCTCAGCCTCCATCTCTGCCTCCCATTCAGTCCCTTTCTCTGCCCCAAGGTACATGAAGAACTCTTGAAGACAGGAGCTGCAGAGCTGGCCCCACAGCACCAGAGATGTCACAGAAGAGCAGAATTCCAGCCCTCCATGGCACATGGGCTACATCTGCACTATTTTGTTCAGAGCTCCAAGAAGCAGGTGCATTGGGATTTTCACCAAAGAACGAAAGGAATAAACCCATCTCCCTATTTTTAACCCCCCAGAAGAAGCCTTATTCTCTCCTTTCTGGAATGTCAGGACCAGTGTCATTTTGTCCAGGCTGCATTGACCTCTTTGCTGGACCCCGGGCATAGGGAGCCCTTGCTGCTTCTCCACCCACCAGTGCTGAGCTCCGGGGGTGTTTGCCTTGCAGGTCCAAGGTGAGAATGTAAACACTGCAATTCCTCTGAAAACTGGCTGGAACCTCCTCCAGGGAGGAAGGGTTGCTCATGGGCTGGCCAGGCTCCCAAACATCATACACAGCAACCCGGAGCTCCAACTTAACACAGCTTGGGGCAGGTCCTCAAATGACCTTCCGTTTCTTGTCTGCCCATCTGAGAGGACCATTCCATTCCAAACAACATTCCTTTGATAAAAGTGGTTACACACTGTAAACATCAATGAGCCAGGAACATTCTCCGGTGCAACAGGATTCTGATAAAGCAGTCCTATTTTGCAAAACCTTCCAGTGTGAAACATCCTCCCCACAGCAAGCAGGGAAATTCCTGGGATGCCACAACATTGGGCAGAGTGTCCAGGGCCCCAGGGAAGGAGCAGAAAGTCTAGAGGTGGAGCTCCCATTGTGGGCAGAGGGACCTGAGTTTTCAATCATCTGTTCATCAGTCACTCACTCAACAAATATTTGCTGAACATGTCCCAAGCGCCAGGCTCTGATGGAGTCACTGGAAATGCAGTGTTTCCACATGACTGCAAAGCTCCCCTGACTTTCAAAAAGCAGCAATGATTTCCTCTCCCCACACAGTCCAGGTTGACAGTCGGGTGCAATATCCACACGCCTCTCTACCTCACTCCCTCTGTGAGTCTGGATGTGTTCTTCTTCCTCTCCAGCCCCCTGGGCCCTCATTCTGTTGGCTTTTCTGCTGTCACTCTCTGTTCGCAGGTATCTCTTCTTGAGTCTGTTTCTGGGTCTCTCAGTCTCTATTCTTCAAGTCTCCCTTTGTGTCACCAAGTGCTTCCCAGCCTAGCCACTCCTCTACCTCTCCATCAGTCTGCCTTACTTCCAATCAATTCATCCCCATTTTTTTCTCCTTCCCTCTTCTGTTTCTTCTCCTTAAGTGACTGTTGATACAGAACTAGATACATTTTTCTTAGGTTGGTGGAATAGACTTTCACATTCTCTGGTGTTTAGTTCTAAAATTGATTGAAAAATGTTTGTATTCTTTAGTGTTGTCTGAATTTCTTATAAGAGTATGTGTAATTCTTTAAAACTGTTTATTAAAATACGATGCCTATATTAGTCCATTTTCATCCTGCTGTGAAGAAGTTCATGAGACTGGGTAATTTATAAAGAAAAAGAGGTTTAATGAACTCACCGTTCCACATGGCTAGGGAGGCCTCACATTCATGGCAGAAGGCAAAGGAGAAGCAAAGTCACATCTTACATGGCCGCAGGCAAGAGAGTGTGTGCAGGCGAACTGCCCTTTATAAAACCATCAGCTCTCGTGAGACTTACTCACTATCATGAGAACAGCATGGAAAAACCCACCCCCATGATTCAATTACCTCCCACCAGGTCCCTCCCATGACACATGGGGATTATGAGAGCTACCATTCAAGAAGAGATTTGGGTGGGGACAAAGCCAAACCATATCAATGCCCGTGAAAAAGTGCCCATGAAATGCCATGCAGAGCTCCAAGAATCTCACTCACTGAACACACTTGTGTAGCCACATCTTGGACTAAAACTTGCTTATGTTGCCTTTCAATATTCTCCCCCACATGCGTCACCACTGCCCTCACTTCTCTCAGCATGGACTCCTGTCTTTGATAAAAGACCAAATCCCTGGTTTTGTATGTTATGGAAGTGAAATGCAGTCATATGGATTAGTTTGTGTCTAGCTTCTACTGTTCAGGACTTCACGCTCTTTGTTGCATGTAGGCATGGACTCTTCATTGTCTTTGTGAGGTGGTGGCCATTGTGGGGCTATCCCGCAATTTCTCTTCAGTTGTTAATAGGTATTAGGGTAGTTTCCATTTGCAGCTGTTACAAATAGGCTGCTGTTAAAATTCATGTATGTGTCTTTTGATGGCATGTATTACTGTTATAATCAGGAAAGAACAAAGAAAACTATTTCCATTTGGAAAGATGGGGATGGCCAAGTGGGATGTTTTCATAAAAGGGCTCTGGAGTACGAGACAGAACACGAGTCTTCCTTCTGGCTTCTCTATTCTCTAGTTCTACAACTTTAGGCCAATCAGTTAACCTCAGTGAGTCTCAGTTTTCTTATCTGTAAAATATGAACGGTAATGCCTGTCATTGGTAGGCATTACTACCTCACAGGGTAACTGTAACAATCAAATGAGATGATGGATATGAGGAAAAAAATTTTTAAGGTGTCATGCAAAAAATAATGACCAGGTGTGGTGACTCATGCCTATAATCCTAATGCTTTGGGAGGCTTAAGCAAGAGGATTGCTAGAGCCCGGGAGTTCAAGACTAGCCTGGGAAACATAGTGAGACCCTGTCTCTACAAAACTAAAATGAAATAAAAATTAGTCAGGCATGGTGGCATGCACCTGTAGTCTCAGCTACTTTGGAGGCTGAGGCAGGATCGCTTGAGTCCAAGAGTTCAAGGTTACAGTGAGCCATGATCATGCAACTGCACTCCAGCCTGGGCAACACAGCAAGACCCTGTTAAATAATAATAATAATGTATTTATTTCTCTTATTAAAGAAAAAATTAACAGCAACAATGTGATGCTCTTATCTGTTTTAAAATTTTGAACTTTTGACTTTCATTAGACATGAGAGCTCCCGAATCCCTGATCCACTGTGGGCCACAAAAGAGAAATGTCTCAAAATGTCCAATCTCCAAAGGTCTATATTTCACATGAGCAAGTGGGAACATGTGGCCTGTGCCATGTTTTTCCCCTTCCAGGTGGCTCGCATTAGTTGGGGGCTCCTGGTCTAGATGAGCAACAGAAAACCCCACCGAGGATGCACCGAGGATGCACAGAGGAAAAACCCACAGAGGAAAAACCCACAGAGGATGCACAGAGGATGCACAGAAGGCCAGGTCTGGACCTGTCTTCAGACACCAGCCAGTGCCCCATCCTCTACCTTACACTGCCCAACCTCATATAGCAAGGATCTGACGAGAGTGGGCAGGAGACAGGACTCCATGTCTGCTGACCATCAGAGCCAATCTAAGACTCTTCACTCTCCGCCAGCATGGATCATCTGTTAGTTTATGCGGGCTGTTGGAGTCCACACACTGGTGAAGATAGGCAGGGCACCCTCCCACCCAAGTTCTTCCTCCCCATCCACCCAAAACAAACCTTGTGTCCTGAGGCTCATGCCGTGAAATGTGTTGTTTCCTCAGGCCTCACCCGGATGGTTTCTACAAGGGGAGACCTCGAGCAGCCAGCCCACAGATTCTTTGTGAGCACCCACCACACTGGCAGCCCTGTCCTCAGTGCTCTGGGGATACAAAGCTACAGGCTCCCTGCCCTTGGGGCACTCCCACCTGGGTGAGGGGGGAAGTATAGCCTGAATGACGGAGAGTGATATGAGTGAGGAAGGGTCTACAGTGCGAGGGGGCTCTGAGGATGAGCAACATGTGAGAGGGGTTCTGAGGCAAGAGCTCCTGAGAGCCTCCTGGGGAGACGGGGAAATGAATGAGAGCCTTGAAAACTACATGAAACCGGTGATTCTCAGCCCTGGCTGGACATCACCCATGCCAGGGGAGCTTTCACAAAATGCCAGTGCCTGGAACCCCCCTACTCCATCACAATCGATGGCTGTGGGGCCCGGACATCAGTGTTCTTCCAAGGCTTCCCAAGTGGGTCTAATGTGCGGCCACACCTGAAACTGAAACTTACTGCACTAGGAGATAGAGACTCAGTGTAGGCTTTCAGCAGTAGAGGGACATGATCAAAGGGTCACTCAAGAAATATTTATTGAAGGGAGAGGGCCAGGGTTGAAAAACTACCTCTCAGGTACTATGCTCACTAGTTGGGCAATGAGATCCCAAGAAGCCCAAACCTCAGCATCACATAATATACCTATGTAACAAACCGGCACATGTGCTCCCTGAATCTAAAATAAAACGTTTAGAAGAAACATTTAGTGAGCACCTACTCTGGCTATCCAAAGATGAAGAAGATGTATGTAGTGCCTGCCCTTGTCCAGCCAACAGATTAGGAGAAAAAATGGATCCATAAATATGTGTAATGTAAGGGAAGTTATTTCACATAAGTATGAACCAAGTGCTCTAAGGACATTGAGAGTTGCTAGAGAAAGCATTCTTAGAGATATTAGAACTCTGTCCTGAGAGATGTTTAGGAGTTTCCCAAGCAAAGAAAACAGAGGAGAACATTATACATGAAAGACAGAGTACTACACGGGTGCTGAGTCCTGTGGGGACCAGGTGTGCTCAGGGAATATTGGGAGAGGCGGACAGGAGGCTGGAAAGAATGGGGAAGGTAAACGCCAAGGGCCTGGATTTTATCTGAGCTCTCAGTATTTGAACAATGAGACAGAGGGGACAGGTCAGAAAAGAGAGAGGAAGGTAGACCAGTTAGAAGCCACAGTAGTGATTCAGATGTAAGGTGATGATGGGCTGGACCAAGGAATTGACAGTGGGAATGAGGAAGGGAGAAACCCAAGAGAGATCTCCTTAAAAGGCAATGGAATTTGGTAACAGAACAGAGATAAAGAAAGAGGGAGAGGTGAAGATGGCTCCACAGTGACTAATTTGAGGCAACAGGATAGATAACACAGGAATAGCAAAGACTGAGGACGCTGGGTAGATGACTTAAATTTTGTTTAACTCCAAGACATCCACACGGAGATGTGTCCAAAAGGCTAGCAGAAGGACAGAAGCCGGATTGTAGAAGGTGAAGGGGGAAAATATAAGGAGAGAAAGTGGAATATCCAGATACAAACTATATACACCAGGCACTCCGCAGGAGAAGGAAAGAACAGGGGTGGCACCTGGCAGATCAGGTACCAGCGTATTTGCCAGGACTGGCCCGTGTGTGGGTAGAGACCGGAGAAAGGAGGGGGAAACAGGAGTCGCTGAGGAGATGGTCCGTAAGGCACAGGAGCATGGCGTCCAACAGAGGGGAAGAGTTTGCCTTTAGAGAGGACAGGCATGTCTTTTTTTTTTTTTTTTTTTTTTTGGAGACGGGGCCTCACTCTGTTGCCCAGGCTGGAGTGCAGCAGTGTGATCTGGCTCACTGCAACCTCCGCCTTCTGGGCTCCAGCAATTCTCGTGCCTCAGCCACCCAAGTAGCTGGGATTACCAACGCACCACCAAGTCTGGCTAATTTTTGGATTTTTAATAGAGATGGGGTTTTGACATGTTGGCCAGGCTGGTCTCGAACTCCTGGCCTCAAGTGATCCGCCTGCTTCGGCCTCCCAAAGTGCTGTGATTACAGGTGTGAGCCACCACGCCTGACTAGGGCAGGCATTTCTTAATAGAGGTAGAGATGTCTGAGAAAATGTTCCCCAGGGCCCAGGTCCTGTCTAAAGAGAATAGATCAAAATCATCTAAAGCAGGGCTCAGGAAACATTTTCTGTAAAGGGCCAGATAGTAAATAGTTTAGGCTTTGTGGGCCCTATGGTGCCTGTCACAACAGCTGTAGAACTCTGCTGCTGCAGTGTAAAAGCAGCCACCGACAATGCGTGAGTGGGTGTGCTGTGTTCCAATAAAGCTTTCGTTTCAAAAACAGGCAGTGATTACAATCGTTAATTTTATGTTATGTGAGTTTCACCTCAATTAAAACAAAAGCAGGCCATGGGTTTGATTTGGCCCATGGGGCTGTAGTTTGCAAACACCTGTTCTAGACAGTGGGGCAAGAGGGGTGAAGGGCAGGATGGGGAGGAGCACTTGGGGACTTAGAGAAGACAAGGACTGTGC
Source organism: Homo sapiens (assembly GCF_000001405.40). Taxonomy (NCBI): domain Eukaryota; kingdom Metazoa; phylum Chordata; class Mammalia; order Primates; family Hominidae; genus Homo; species Homo sapiens. Next base: position 125,068,690 of record NC_000003.12, read on the forward strand.
TGGCTTCCATGGGTCCCATGAACAGTGACCAGTGAATGATCTGAGTTCAAATCTGACTCTGTCACTTCCTAGCTATGGGACTTTCAGTAAATTACTTATTTACTTATCCTGAGCCTCAGTTTTCCTCTTCTATAAAATGGGGAAAAAGAGTACCTACATCATTGCATTGTTCTGAGAATCAAATGAGATAATGAATGTAGGTGGCTAGCATAAGGTCAATAAAGATTTTCTTACTTAATTTTAAGGATTGACTATGAATTGCAAGACCCTAGCTGTTCCTAGGGCTCCAAGCCCTGCCTGGGGTCCCTGATCATGGATCAGCTCTTCTCTGGACTGTTGTCTAGGCAGGGCTTGGAGCCCTAGCAGGCAGAGAGGTGAGACTGGAAAGAAGGGAGGAGTTGGGCACTGGGGTGGGAGGTAAAGGAAGAGGCCCTACCAGTCAGTGGCAGAGAGAACAAAATGTATATCCCCAGATCTACGGAGAAATAGACCCCACAGGTGCAAACACAAACTTCATGCAC